>NC_000003.12:143402543-143705574 GCF_000001405.40 Homo sapiens | reverse complement strand
ATATATTTATGCGTTACATGTGATTCACTGATACAGGCATGCAATGCATAATAATCACATCAGGGTAAATAGAGTATCCATCACCTCAAACATTTATTCTTTGTGTTACAAATAATCCAATTATACCCTTTCAGTTATTTAAAAATGTATAATCAAATTATTTTTCACTGTAGTCACCCTGTTATGTTAACAAATATGAGATCTTATTCATTCTTGCTAACTTTTTTTTGTACCCATTAACCATCCACACTTCCCCTCCTCCACACCCCCACTACCCTTCCCAGCTTCTGTTAACAATCTTCCTACTTTCTATTTCTGTGAGTTCAATTATTTTCATTTTTAGCTCCCACAAGTGAGTGGTAACGTGAAATTTGTCTTTCTGTGCCTGGCTTCTTTCACTTAACATAATAACTTCCAGCTCCATTCAGGTTGTTGCAAATGACAGGATCTCATTCTTCTTTATGGCTGAATAGACCTCCATTGTGTATATGTATCATAATATATATATCTATATATCTATATCTATATCTATATAGATAGATAGATAGATAGATAGATAGATAGATAGATAGATAGATATTTGAGATGGAGTTTCACTCTTCTTGCCCAGGCTGGAGTGCAATGGGGCCATCTCAGCTGACTGCAACCTCCATCTCCCAGGTTCAAGCAATTCTCCTCCCTCAGCTTCTGGAGTAGCTGGGATTACAGGCATGTACCACAATGTCCAGCTTATTTTGTATTTTTAGTAGAGATGGGGTTTCTCCATGTTGGTCAGGCTGGTCTTGAACCCCTAACCTCAGGTGATCTGCCCACCTTGGCCTCCCAAAGTGCTGGGATTACAGGCATGAGCCACCACACCAAGCCACATTTTTTTTAATCCATTTGTCTGTTGATGGACACTTAGGTTGCTTCCAAATCTTGGCTATTGTGAGTAGCGCTGCAATAAATATAGGAGTGCAGATATACTTCAATATACTGATTTTCTTTCATTTGTATATATTCCTAGAGGTGAAATTGCTGGTTTTTTAGTTTTTTGAGTTTTTCTTATGAAGGGATGTTAAGCTGTATCAAATGCGTTTTTGTCATCAATTGAAATGATCATATGGTTTTTGTTCTTTATTCTGTTCATATGTGTCACATTAATTTATTTGCATATGTTGAGACATCCTTGCTTCCCTGGGATAAATTCCACTTCGTCATGATGAATGATGTTTTCAGTGCGTTATTGAATTCAGTTTGCTAGCATTTTGCTGAAGATATTTGCATCAATATTTATCAGGATATTGATCTGCAGTTTTCTTTTTTTGATGTGTCGTTGTCTGGTCTTGTTATGAGGATAATACTGGCCTCATAATATGAATGTGAAAGTATTCCCTCCTTCTCCTCTATTTTTCAGAATAGTTTGAGCAGAGTTGGCATTAGTTCTTTAAATTTTTGATAGAAGCAGTAAAGCCACTGGGTTCCCCGGGCTTTTCTTTACTGGGAGACATTTTATTACAACTTCAATCTTGTTACTTGTTACTGGTCTGTTTAGGACCAATCCAAATCTGTTGGATTTCTTCAAGGTTCAAGTTTGGTAGGTTGTATGACTGTAGAAATTTATCTATGTCTTCTAGATTTTCCAATTTATTGCCATATAGTTGCTCAGGGTAGCGACTAATGATCCTTTAAAATGATCCAGTGGTATCAGTTGTAATGTCTCTTTTTTCATCTCTAATTTTATTTATTTGAGTCTTCATTCTCTTTTTTTCTTATTCTGACTAAATATTTGCCCATTCTTGGACAAAATAAAACAACTGACTTTTTGTTTTATTGATCATTTGTATTGTTGTCTTCAAATTCATTTATTTCTGCTCTGATCTTTATTATTTCATTTATTCCACTAACTTTGGGTTTGGTTCGCTCTTTCTTTTCTGGTTCGTTAAGATACATCATTAGGTTGTTTATTTGAAGTTTTTTTTCTTCCTTGATATAGGCACTTTTAGCTATAAACTTCCTGCTTAGTACTGCTTTTGCTGTATTCCATAGATTTTGGTATGTTTTGTTTCTATTACCATTTGTTTCAAGAAATTTTTCAATTTCCTTCTTAATTTCTTCATTGACCCACTGTCATTTAGGAGCATATTGCTTAATTTTCATGTGTTTGTATAGTTTCCAAAATTCTCCTTGTTACTATTTTTTTGTTTTATTCCATTATGGTCAGAGAAGATGCTTGATATTATTTTAATTTTTTTAATGTTTTAAGATTTATTTTGTGATCTAACATATGTCCTGTCCTTGAGAATGATCCATGTGCTGAGCAAAATAATGTGTATTCTTTAGCCATTGGATGAAATGTTCTATATCTATTAGGTGCATTTGGTCTATAGTGTAGAGTAAGTCTGATGTTTCTTTGTTGGTTTTCTGTTTAGAAGATCTGTCCAAGACTGAAAGTGGGATGTTGAAGTCTCCAGCTATTATTGTATTGGGGTCTATCTCACTCTTTAGCTCGAAAATTTTTTGCTTTATATATCTGGGTACTTCAGTGTTGGGTGTAAATATATTTACAATCATTATATTCTCTTGCTAAATTTACTCCTTTATCATTATATGATGACCTTTGTCTCTTATAATTTTAGTCTTGAAATCTAGTTTATCTGAAATAAGTATAGCTACTTTTGCTCTTTTTTGGTTTCCATTGACATGGAATATCTTTTTCCATCCCTTTATTTTCAGTCTATGTGTACTTTTATAGGTGAAGCGTGTTTATTATAGGCAGCAGACCACTGGGTCTTGTTTTGTTTTTTGTTTTTTTCATCCATTCAGCCACTCTATGTCTTTTTTTGGAGACTTTAGTTCACTTATATTCAATGTTATTCTTGATAAGTAGGGACTTCTGCCATTTTGTTATTTGTTGTCCTGTTGTTTTCCAGTCTTCTCTTCTTTCGTTCTTCCTCTCTTCCTCTTAATGAAGGTGATGTTCTCTGGTGGTATGTTTTAATTTCTTGCTTTTTATTTTTTATGTGTTTATTGTATTTTTTTTTGATTTGCAGTTTTCATTAGGCTTGCAAATACTATCTTGTAACTCATTATTTTAAGCTGATAACAACACTGTTTGCATAAGCAAACAAATAAGCAAAGAGAGCCTATAAAAACTCTACACTTTAACTTTGTCCTCCTGTTTTTTAACTTTTTGTTTTTTCAATTTGTGTATTACGGTACTGTCTATGTCTTGAGAAGTTGTAGTTATTATTTTTGATTGGTTCATCATTTAGCCTTTCTAATTAAGATCTGAATAGTTTATATTCCACAGACACAGTGTTATAATAGTCTGTGTTTTTCTGTGTACTTACTATTACCAGTGAGTTTTGTAACTTCAGATTATTTATTGCTTATTAACATCTTTTTCTCTAAGGTTAAAGAACTCTCTTCAGCATTTCTTGTAGAACAGGTCTGGTGTTGATGAAATTTTTCAGCTTTTGTTTGTCTGAGAAAGTCTTTATTTCTCCTGCATATTTGAAAGATATTTTCACCAGATATACTATTCTAGGGTAAAAGTTTCTTTCCTTCAGCACTTTAAATATGTCATGCCACTCTCTCCTGGCTTGTAAGATTTCCACTGAAAAGTCTGCTGCCAGACATATTGGAGCCCTATTGTATGTTATTTGTTTCTTTTCTCTTGCTGCTTTTAGGGTCCTTTCTTTATCCTTGACTTTTGGGAGTTTGATTATTAGATGCCTTGAGGCAGTCTTCTTTTGGTTACATCTGCTTGGTGTTCTGTAACATTCTTGTACTTGGATATTGATATCTTTCTCCAGGTTTTGCAAGTTCTGTATTAGCCTTTTAAATAAATATTCTACCTCTATCTCTTTCACTACTTCCTCTTTAAGGCCAATAACTCTTAAATTTGCCCTTTTGAGGCTATTTCCTAGATCCTGTAGGCATGCTTCATTGTTTTTTATTCTTTTTTCTTTTGCCTCCTCTGACTGTGTATTTTCAAATATCCTGTCTTTGAGCTCACTAATTCTTTCTTCTGCTTGATCAATTCTGCTGTTGAAAGACTCCGATGCATTCTTTCATGTGTCAATTGCATTTTTCAACTCCAGAATTTCTATTTCATTCTTTTTAATTATTTCAATCTCTTCATTAAATTTATCTGATAGAATTCTGAATTCTTTTTCTGTGTTATCTTGAATTTCTTTGAGTTTCCTCAAAACAGCTATTTTGAATTCTCTGTCAAAAGGGTCATATATCTCTGTTGCTTTAAAATTGTTCCCTGGTGCCTTATTTAGTTCACTTGGTGAGGTTATGTTTTCCACGGTGGTCTTGATGCTTGTGGATGTTTGTCTTTGTCTGGGCATTTAACAGTTGGCTATTTATTGTAGTCTTTGCAGCCTGGACTTGATAGTACCCATATTTCTTGGAAAGACTTTCCAGGTATTCTAAAAGACTTGGGTGTTATTATCTAAGCCATATCTGCATCAGGGGCACCCCAAGCCCAGTAACATTGTGGTTCTTGCAGACTCGAAGAGGTACTGCCTTGAAGGCCTTAGGTAAGATTGGGGAGAAATCTCTAGATTACCAGGCAGTGACTCTTGTTCTCTTCCATTACTTTCTCCCAAACAAATGGAGCCTTGCTCTGTTCTAAGCTGCCTGGACCTGGGGTTGAGGTGAAACAAGTACCCCTGTGGCCACCACCAATGGAACTGTGCTAAGTTAGACCTGAAGCCAGCACAGCACTGGGTCTTGCCCAAGGCCTGCTGTAACCACTCCCTGGCTGCTGCCAGGCCCTTGGGCTCCACCATCAGCAGGTGGAAAAGCCAGCCAGTCTTGTATCCTTCCCTTCAAGGTGGCAAGTTCCCCTAAGCCCTGGATGTGTCCAGAGGTGCTGTGTGGGAGCCAGGTACTAGAGTCAAAATCCTTACAAGTCTACCTGATGTTCTGTTTTACTATGACTAAGCTGGTACTCAAACTGTGAGATGTAGTCATTTCCACTCTTCCCTCCCCTTTCCACAGGCAGAGGGACCTCACCCCATGGTCACCACTATAGGCCCACAGGAAGTACTCCCAGGCCACTGCCAATGTTCCCTTAAGGCCCAAGCTCTCTTCAGTCAGCTTGCAGTTAATGCTACCTGGCCTAGGACTCACTCTTCCGAGCAGTAGCCTCCCCTCTGGCCCAGGGCAGGTCTACCGATGCTGTCCAAGAGCCCAAGAGTCTGCCTGGTGCTCTGTCCTGCTGTTGCTGAGCAGATACCTGAGGTGCAAGTCAAAATACCTTCTACTTTTCCCTCTACTTTTCTCAGGAAGGAGACTCTTCCCATAGCCACCACAGGCTGGGAATGTGCTGAGTTTTACCTGAAATCAGCAAGTCTCAGAGTCTCACCCAAGGCCCATGACATGCTACATGGGTATTGTTGCTGGTTATTTAGGGCCCAAGGGCTCTTTGGTCAGCAGATGATGGGTCCTGCCAGTACTGTGCCCTTCCCTTTAAGGCAGTGGGTTCCCTTCTGGCCCAGGGTGTGTCTAGAAATGTTATCTGGGAGCTAGGGCCTGGGAAAGGGGCCTCACAACTCTGACTGGTGCCCTATCCTACTGTGGCTGTGCTGATATCCAAGATACAAGACAAAGTCCTCCTTACTCTTCTCTCTCCTCTCCTCAAGCAGAAGGAAGGGATCTCTTTTGGATCCATGAGCTGTGCAGCCTACGGTTGAAGGAGGGGTCACACAGGCACCGCATTAGCCACGCTGACTGGTGTTTCAGTAGGTCTCATGCCCCCAGTCCACTGGCTCTGAGCCCAGTTCAGCACTGAGCTGCAGAATCACCTAGGAATTTGAGTCCTTGTACCCTAGACTGCCTTTCAAGTTTATTTAGGGCCCCAGAGGAATTTAGCCTACAGTGGGGAGGCTTGGCAGAACTCAAGTTCTATTCGCTGGGATAGGCAATTCCTCTCTGGCTAAGGCTGGTTTTATACTTCCTCTGTGGAAAGGCATGAACTGAGTTCAGCTCAGTTTGGCTTTCTGCTGTGACACGGCACCGGTAAGTTCAGTACAATGTTTTACAATTGCTGCACTCTTCCTGTCCCAGAAGCACAGATTCTCTTTATCCATGCTACACTGCTGCTGCCAGGAGATGGAGGAGGAGTGGCATTGGCATTTCAGAACTGTCTCCTACCCTCCTCAGTACCTCTTTTAGCTATATGAAGTCAAAACCAGGTACTGTGAGTGCTCACCTGCTATTTGGTTCTTATTAAGTTGCTTTTTTTTTGTGTAGATAGTTGTTAAATTGTTATATTTGTGGGGTGTACAATCACTGGAGCCTTCTGTTCTACCGTCTTGCTCTACCTCTATCTCAAAATAAAAAGTCTTTTAGAATAGGAATTATGTATATTATTAATTATTTGTTGAATGAATGAGTCAATGTGTAAATTAATGAATACATGAATGAATGAATTTCACTAGGGGAACTTCCCAGTCCTCTCCAGCCTAGCACAGTTTATGAGTTCTGAGAGGGATTGCCCTTGAACACATGCTTCAGAAAAAAGAAAATGTGAAATTGAAACTATCCATAAAATCTGAACAAATAAGTAGGGCATGATATTTTCCCAAAGGACATTTGGGTATAAAATTCAGAAATTTAGATGTAGATCATAACTTTCATGTTGCTTCCAGCACATGTAGATCCTGGGTTTTCCCACTGCAGAGCAAGCTGTACACAGTGGCCTATTTCACAAGGTTTTTCAGTCAGGGACGTGGCTTTTCTGACAGTTAATGGGACTGGTCCACACAGCTTTATCTCCAAACTGACAACTTCCTTTGCTTATCCCTAACAATTCAAAAAACTGCCTTTTCGGGTGATCTATTCATAATTTAGTGAAGGTTATTTTTAAAAAAGAAGAGGGAGGAGGAGGAGGATTCCTTTTTAAAGAATACTGAGATTAAGTTACTATATTTTTAAATCATCCAAACAATTAAAACTTCTGGAACTTTTTGTATTGAAACATTTTTATAACATAGCTTTAAGTGTAGGGCTTTAATAGTGTGAAACTACCTCATGAAATTTAAAATCAGTGTGTGCGTCATAACTCTAAATGAAATGAGTATGTTAAGCATTTTCCCAAATCCCCTTTTATGCAATGCCTTCTATTAGAGTAAAATTTATGACTGCCATCCTGTGAGTCCCTACTCTTTGAGAGCAGGTCATGGATTTCTGTCTTTATATGCACTATAGCACCAGCACTCTGTTTTTCAAAGGATATTACTAATTGGATATTTGTTGAAATCAATGTTATTAATGATTTTAGTTTTTATGAGACAGTTTCTGCTTCTGTCCACCCCTGTAACCCAGGCTGTCACTAACCTCAGAGTGTCCACAGGAGGACATCTGACTCAGGTTTGCCATCTTCAGGGCATTGTATGCACTAGACTTCACCAGAATCTCTCGTCCATCAAATTGCGTCTATCCTGTCCTGAGTCATCGTGCCTTCTATGAAGTGATGACAGAAAGAATATACCACTCTGTGAGGATACGGTGACTGGTAATGGGTGGCTTCATTTTTTAGCCTCCCAGTTAATGTAGTTATAACTAATTGGTTTTTTATTAATAATGTGCCAACAATAACAATAGCTACCATTTATAAGAGTGCCTGGCACATTGTAGGTGCATAGTAATTGTTGGCTTATTATAATTAGCATTGATAATGGCCTTTGCTATGTTTGTAATAATAACAATTACCATACGAGCTTGAACTGAACTGGGCTTTTTATTTTTATTTTTTGTATTATCTCAAGGAAGTGACTGAAATTATGGTTATTTTAAGTCAAGGAGTTGATTTGGAGTAAATAAGTAATCTTTCTTTTTTGAAAAAGCAAACTGTATGTGGGGTGTGTGTGTGTGTGTGTGTGTGTGTACTCACACACATGCATGTTTCTCCTGATTTCAAAAGCATTATAGAGTTGGTGGTTAAGTATGTAGGCTTTGGTGTCCAGCTGCCTGGATTCAAACTCTGGTTTGTCACAAGCTAATTCTGTGATCTTAGGTAAGTTAGTTAACCTCTCTGAGTCTTACTTTTCTCATTTGTAAAAGGAATAATTATAGAACATAGCTCATAGAATTGTGAGGATTAAGTAACACAATGAATAACTATTGTGTCCATAATAGCACTCACTAATGTACATTGTTCTTTGTTTTTATTATGGCTATTATTTAAAAAGAACTGGAAAAATGCAGAAAAGCAAAAAGGAGGAGTCATCGAATTCTATTATATAACCACTATTAACAATAACATGAGGCTGTATGCATCTAACTTTTTCTGTTTATATGTATGCCTAAGTATACTCAATTTTATAAAATTAGATATAATCATTAACTTGTCTTAATAATTTACTTTTCCATGCCCAGTATACTTTATTTTATATATCACTTTATAATTTGTGTTATCAATTTATTTTTCTAATATATATTATTATATACAGTTTTAATAGTTGCATGTTAGTCTGTCATCATATGTATTATGTTATTCATTCATTTGACATGTAGAAGATTGCTTTGAATTTTTCATTCTTGTAAATAACAGGAATCTTGATCTAAATTCACATCTTTTGGTACATATTTTATTAATTTCTTGGTATAAATTTATAGGAAACTATTTAATAAGCTATAGAATATTTTCTAAAATTAATGCTTTTAGAATAAATTGCCAAATTGTTTTCCATAAAAACTTTAATTTCGTTTCCAGCAATAGTATATGAGGCTTCTAGTTTCCATGTAACCCTGCCATACCTTGGTAGTATATATACATATATTTTTTATAATATCCAATTTAATGGCTTCTGTACAATATGGAACAAGTCATTTTAACTCTGAGCCTCAGATTCCTAACTTGCAAAATTAACTAATGGATATAGAATTCAGAACTATAGTGACAGATCACAAAGTTTATATTGATTCCAGAACCAATTGATATTCAATATTTGAACTGTAGTTCAAGTGACAAAGGGCCAAGGTGAAGTTGGGCTAATGCCAGAAGAGGCTGAAGGGATGAATACTGAGGAGCATTTCTCTGCTAATGCCATGACTGTCCAGAATGTCCCAGTGTTGATCAGAAAGTAATGTAGATAACAGTTATAATTTGAATTTCTGATTGTGTCTTATTGCTGTCTATCCTGCTAAACTGTGTGCCCCATGAGGGCAGGGATCTTTGTTTGTTCACTGATATAATTTGTGCCTTTAGCATGGAGCCTGACACATAGTAGGGGATCAATAAGAAGCACCTTGTACAAAAGTTAACTCAAGATGGATTAAAGACTTAAACATAAGACCTAAAACCATAAAAACCCTAGAAGAAAACCTAGGCAGTACCATTCAGGACATAGGCATGGGCAAAGACTTCATGACTAAAACACCAAAAGTAATGGCAACAAAAGCCAAAATTGACAAATGGGATCTAATTAAATTAAAGAGCTTCTGAACAGCAAAAGAAACCATCATCAGGTGAACAGGCAACCTACAGAATGGGAGAAAATTTTTGCGATCTATCCATCTGACAAAGGGCTAATATCCAGAATCTACAAAGAACTTAAACAAATTTACAAGAAATAACCCCATCAAATAGTGTGTGAAGGATATGAACAGACACTTCTCAAAAGAAGACATTTATGCAGCCAACAAATACATGAAAAAAAGCTCATCATCACTGGTCATTAGAGAAATGAAAATCAAAACCACAACGAGAAACCATCTCACGCCAGTTAGAATGGCAATCATTAAAAAGTCAGGAAACAACAGCTGCTTTTACACTGTTAATGGGAGTGTAAATTAGTTCAACCACTGTGGAAGACAGGGTGGCGATTCCTCAAGGATCTAGAACCAGAAATACCATTTGACCCAGCAATCCCATTACTGGGATTTACAAAGGATTGTAAATCATTCTGCTATAAAGACACATGCATACATATGTTTATTACAGCATTATTCACGATAGCAAAGACTTGGAACCAACCCAAATGCCCACCAATGATAGACTGGATAAAGAAAATGTGGCACATATACACCATGGAATACTATGCAGCCATGAAAAGGATGAATTCATGTCCCTTGCAGGGACATGGATGAAGCTGGAAACCATCATTCTCAGCAAACTAACACAGGAACAGAAAACCAAACACCGCATGTCCTCACTCATAAGTGGGAGCTGAACAATGAGAACACATGGACACAGGGAGGGGAACATTACACACTGGGGCCTGTTGTGGTGTGGGGGACTAGGGAAGGGACAGCATTAGGAGAAATACCTAATGTAGATGACAGGTTGATGGGTGCAGCAAACCACCATGGCATGTATATACTTATGTAACAAACCTGCACATTCTGCACATGTATCCCAGAACTTAAAGTATAATAATAATAATAGTAATAAAAGAAGTATCTTTTGAATGAATAAATAAGCTGAATGAAGCTACCCTATACTTGTCAAGAGACTGTGCACCTGGTAACCGGCAGTGTGCTGTCCTCTGGATAAGTGTGGATGAGCTGCCAAGAATGAGGCCTCTTAGACTTGCCTTTTCCCAGCTCCCATGCTGTGTCCCACTGACAGTCTTTCTCAGATATTTAATACCTTCAGCCTGGTTAAGATTCAGCCTCCCCTTCTAGAATCCATGCTTTGCAAAGCAATGTTGGGCCCCTGTGCTCTAAACCATTATGGATTGGCTTAAGAGTTCAATTCAGAGGGTAGAATTATTTCTAAGTTCTTAGGGATACTTCATTGCTGTCTTTTGGACTACCTAGAGCAACTAACTCATGGGATGGTTGAGGGTGTACTACATGAGATAACATATCATGTAAAATATAGAACTGTTGATCTAAGCAATACAGTGTGATGGTTAAAAGCCAAGGCTTTAGAGCCAGACCTTCTCAATTCACATCTGGGCTTCACAACTTAATAGCTGTGTCACCTTAAGCAAATTACTTCATCACACTATATTCAGTTTTCTTGCTAAAAATACGAAAAATATTACCATTGATGTGGGTATTTAATGAGTTAAATAAAGCATGTGTAGAAGTAGAAATGGTAAGTAAATGTTACCTACTATTTTGATCATTATTTTTAGCCTCAGTGACCTCATTGAGAATTTGCTATGTGCCAGACACCAAATATGTATTACCTCAGTTAATCCTTAAAACAATTCTGTGGGCTATTACTGTTATCCCTACCTCATGGATATTCAGGTTCAGAAAGTTTTAGTAATAACTTAAAATCATATAGATAGTAGATAGTAGAGCCTGGATTTAAATGCCGGTAGGTCTGAAATATTCTCTCATAGTGATACTTTTTTTTAACGTAATTTAAAATATCTGCATTCTTATTGACATTTTTAAATATCTGACTTTTAGCCTTTTTAGCTATGCCCAAAACCTGAGAACTAACTTTAAGTTCACGTGAGTGTTTAAACATCCATCTATTGGTTTGATGGTCTATAGTTTCTAAAGACTCTTACAGTTCTTAAATTACACTGTGATTCAGTTCACCCACCTCTCTATTTCCTCTACTAGGATCTTAGCAAAATCAATCAGTCAGTTAAATAATTAAATACCAATTAAAAGCTATAGGTTGGCAAATGATGACCAAAACAGACAATTTGCATGCCATGGTGTGGGCACAGTAAGGTTATGTAATCTTTCCTTGAAAGATCGCAATGCAACTATTTCAGTATTCATTTTAAACAGTGACCTGGAGTTATACATGCTCTAACCTAACAGGGATTCTCTACCCAGTGTGGAAGTGTCCTGACACCACTAGCAGCAGAGACTCATCTATTATAAAGTGACTGGTTGACTGAGTGCCTTGTGATTGGCCAATATCCTCCTCATCACAGTGATGGACTTGAAATTTGAACCCTTTTCAGACACCGCCAGTGACAAAACAAGGAAAACTGAAAAGCAATCAATTTACAAATGTCAGCACAGCTGCTGTGGTTTTGGATATGATTTGCTGTGCCACATTTGACAGATTATTTTTTATATCTTTGAGATTTATCTTGTTTTCATTGGAATATACTATAAACTGTTGCATTACCTTTTACCAAGTGAATAAATTGTGATATTTGGTAAAATTGTCTTTCATAGCCAAGAGATTCCAGTGTACAGAGACCTAGCACGGCTGTCATTTGGCAGGATGGTGGCAATTTGTGCATGATACGTATTCAGGAAAAACATTAGCATGTGGCTTATGATAGCATGGGTTTACACAGGGTTCATCTTGATGTTTGAAGGTCATGTTTTTCTCTTCAACAGGTTAATTATGTATGGTTTTGTGAAGGCTATGATACATGCTGGCCAGCTGAAAAATGGAGACTTTCATTTCACTGACTGTTTATTTTTTGGTTCACTGATGTCTGCTACAGATCCAGGTAATTGCTCAAATAATATATTTTCTTCTTTTAAGAATCAAACATTTAAATTGAATGTTTCTCCCCAAGACCATCACCTGCGTCTACATAATAATAATTTCTATTTTTCTTCACCTGCAGTTGACATATCTGTTAGTAATTACAAAAGAAAAGAAAAGGGGAATATTTTGATAGTGCTAAAGAAATTGGTTAGAAAGTAATTTCAGTAGTGGGAGAGATCTTTAAAGTCATTACAATTTATTTCTCTAGAATAAGCTTGTCCAACCAGTGGTCCATGGGCTGCATGCAGCCCAAGATGGCTTTGAATGCTGGCCAACACAAATTCATAAACTTTCTTAAAACGTAATGAGATTTATGCACAGACCTTTCTATTTGCTCATCAGGTATCGTTAGTGTTAGTGTATTTTATGTGTGGCCCAAGAAAATTATTCTTCTTCCAATGTGGTGCAGGGAACCCAAAAGATTGGACACCCCTGCTCTAGAACATGTAGCCATTTTGAGTTATCATCCTGAATTTCTCTCCAGTGAATATATCTTCTCTTCTTTTGAGAATGATGTATTAAATTAAGTTGTTTAAAGATATTTTTAAAAAATGTTTACTGTGGTACTTTTCAAGCATATCAGACATAGGGAGAATAGTAAAAAGAATTGGCATATGCCCTTCAGCAATTATCAAATATGGGCAATCACCTTATTTATACCCCCTCCACACCCACTCTCTCATCATGACTGGATTATGTTAAAGCAAATTCTAGCAATCATATTATTTTCTTTGTAAATGTTTTGAAAAATGAGTATTGCCATTGTAAGACCTGAAACAATCATTCTTTAATATTGTCCAAAATCTACTCATTGTTTTAATATTCCTAATTGTCTTATTGTCATTATTTGTTTGTATAGCAGTTTGCACAAATCAAGATCCAAACAAGGGCAGCATATTACAATGGATTGATATGATTATTGGGCCTCTTTTTATCTAGAAGTTTCCCTTTTATTTTTTATTTTCTTGTCATTTATTTGTTTAAAAAAAAAGAGGTAATTTGTCTTGTGGTTGAATCGAATATAGCTCCTTAAAATATTCCTCAGTGCCCTGTATTTCTTATAAACTGATGGTTAGAGTCAGAGGTTTAATCAGATTCAGGTTCAACTTTTTTGGTATGATTACTTTAAAGGTGGTGCTGGGACCCTTCTATTTCATCACCTCCAGAGGCAAATAGTGATTGGTGACTGAGCTGTCAGCCTGATCCATCATATTATTGGATTGCTACTCTAGCAAAGACTACCAGAACACAACCTATAGTTGAACAAGATGCTTTTATTACTCGTTGCAATGAAAGTGAATACCATGGGGAATCATGTTATGTCTCAGTGGGTATTAGAAAGGACTTATTATAGGACTTCGGTTTATGTTTGGTTATTTTAGTGAGGGTTTAAGGCATCAGGGCTTTGGTCTGGATTTGATGCTGTCAGGAAGTGGGAATAACTCCAAGACTGGGCATCTTAGTTAAGTCTTATTTAGAAGGAGGAAGGACTCAATTGAACCTAAAGCTACAATTGGTAAAGAAGCAGTGGTCACTCGTAATAGCCAGGATAGGGGGATGTTTGTTTAGTTTTGTGGTTTGGACAATGTTCATCAACAATTACATAATAGTACTGTTTTTGTCTGGATCCATCATAGTCACAGAATAGCCTTGCCTGATGTCATTCTGTTAAGTTGTTTTTATTCAACAGAAGAATGCCAAGGCCTAGCTAAGAGTATCAGGCCAGCTCTCGAATGTGGGTCTACTTTTCTGTTTCTTAGGAACATATAAGAATCTTTCTCAGCTGGGAGCGGTGGCTCATGCCTATAAACCCAACCCTATGGGAGGCCAAGTTGGGAGGATCACTTAAGCCAGGGAGGTCAAGACCAGCCTGGAAAACATGGGGAAACCCTGTCTCTCAAAAAAAAATTTAAAAATTAAAAAAATAGCCTTGTGTAATGGTGCACTTCGGTAGTTCCAGCTATAGCTACTTGGGAGGCTGAGGTGGGAGGATCACTTCTCAGACCAGCAGGATTGGCACCACATAGTGACTTGTTATAAATGTAAAATCTCAGGCTCAACCACAGACCAAGTATCAGATGCTAGAATTTAACAGTATCCTCAAGAGATTCATATGCACATTAAAGTTTGTGAAGCTTTACATTTTAGAGTTGCCCATTTTATCCAATGGCTTTAGTACCCATTGATGGTTTTTGCTTAAGCCAGTATTTATTAGGGGTTACAAACTAGTGGTATGCTAATCTAATCCTACCTTTTGCATTTATTAGCTGGTGGTACTCTCCTTAATGAAGTAGTTTTCCAGTTCAATTATTTCAGTACCCAATGGTATAATTTAAGCAACAAAAGCAGGGCAAATAATCCATTTTTTCTCTTTATTTACTAATTTTCAAAATAATGTGTTGTGTAGCATCCTGCACATGTGACCAATGAGATGACCTCCTAAAAACATCATTATGAACACATGGATTTTTACATAGATGATACGTTTCATTCTACTGTTGTCATTATATTTTTTCATGATCAAAAGGTGCCATTTTTGACAAGTGGGAGCCTCTTCAACTTTCTCCTGTATGCTTTTATTGTAATGACAACAGTTTTTGATAGGTTTCTTGCTTTTGAGTAAGACTAGATATTTCAACCTTATCTTGTGTATTTCCTGCACCCCACCTAGGAATTACCTTTCTTTCCAAAAGGCCTTGGCTTTTTCTAAGAGAGAAATTTAGTTAGAGACCATAATCTGGGCACTAAGGGATTGCATTGCTGCTGGATTGTCAATTGTTTTTAGACCTTTTTTTAAAAGGAGAAATTATATCACAAATTCATAATATTTTCAGTTAAAATTTAGTATTATATGAACTTAACTGCCTTGAATTTTTATTTTCGTTTTTATTTTCTACTGCCTACTCTTTTTCTTCCCACACATTAATATAATTTCCTACTTGCTTAAAACATATATTCTCAAAAGTATAATATATATATTGTTACTAAAAATATGATAACTAAAAACTGCTTAAGATTTTATTGTGGTTATTTTTAGCCTTTGGATATATCCCACTAGTGATGTACAGTTAAAAATTATTCCCTTTTTAAAATCACTTGAAATAATTTCTCTGTGTGGTTGAGCCACAAGTCAATATATAATAATGTTCATTTGTTTTATTTTATTTTTAATTTTTAAAATTAGATTATATATAGGATTCTAAAAAGAAAATCACAGAACAAAATAAGAGAAATCTAGCTTCTCTCCCTGTCTCCTTTACCCTAAATTTTCAGTGATTTTGGTTGGTTTTCGGTTTACCCTTCTATTTTTAAATTTAAGCAAATACACAAACATGCACACATTCCACTATATGCTACTACGCACATGGTTCTTCACCTTACTTTTATTTAATTAACAGTATTTTGGAGATCTCCTTATAACAACATATAAGAATCTTTCTCAGCTGGGAACAGTGGCCCACACCTAAAATCCCAACCCTATGTGAGGCCAAGGTGAGAGGATCACTTGAGCCCAGAAGTTCAAGACCAGCCTGGACAACATAGGGAAACCCTGTCTCTCCAAAAATAAAAAATAAAAAAATAGCCTAGTGTGGTGGTGCACACCAGTAGTTCCAGCTATAGCTACTTGGGAGGCTGAGGTGGGAGGATCACTTGAGCCCAGAAGGCTGAGGCTGCAGTGAACTGTGATCATGTCACTGCACTCCAGCCTGAGTGACAGAGCAAGACCCTGTCTCAAAATAAATAATAATAATCATCTTTCTAATTATCTTTAGTAGTCGAAGAGTACCCCATAGTTTATTCAATCAGTCTTCTATTGATAGAAATTTGGGTTCTTTCTTCTGCAATTATGTATGGTGTTGAAATTAATAGCTTTTCACATTTTGACAGTGTTTCTTTGGGAGACATTTCTGGAAAGAGATAATGGTAAATGTATTTGTAATTTTCCTAGATGCCAAACTCCCCTCCATAAAATTTGTATCAGTTTGCATTCATACCAGCAATGTATGACAATACTTGTTCTTCACAGTCTTGTCAATGCAGTAGACAATAAAAACTTGGGGGGTTTATCCATATGAAAGGTGAGGATTTATATATCCCTATAGCATGGCTTAGTACTTCTTTTATTATGAGTAAGATTGTATGTTTGTATTTTTGTATTTTATTATGAGTAAGATTCATGTAATTTATAATAAAAATTATATATATATTTTTTCTATTTATAAGATACCCTTTTCCAGTAGAGTCATTAGACTTTTGCATTTCAATGTTTAGATGCCCTTAATATGTTAGGAATATGAATCTTTTGTCTGTCATATAAGTTACAAACAGTTTTCCTGGTTTGTCATGTTTTATTTTGCTTATGGTATGAGAGGTTGATTGAAAGAACATGAAATGAAACTGAGTCTTAGGTTTGGAACCCATGGTGTAGATTGAAGATCAGAGCCCCAGAGTGGTATACAGGGATAGACTGCTCTATCCCCAGGGTTAGGAATGGCCTGGTCACTATGTCATTGCTAGAAGATTTCACTCTCACACAGCCCAAGGGAAATGCGGAAGTCCCTTGGCAGCCACTGGAAGCATGGACTCAAGAGTATAAATTTTCAGCCTATCTAGCTAGTTAAGGTTGTTCTCTTCTGCCATACGTAGATATTCTGGCTTTCAGGGTCAGGCCTCACTTTGCATCACCTTTGCACACATCTTCAAGTTCAGAAGCACTGCAACCAGCATTCCCTGGTCCCAACACTGAAGGCTGAGTTTGTTGCCTTCTACTGAGTGACTCAGCTAGCTCTAAACACAACTGAGTTGTAGTCAAGTGCTGCTCCTTCCGTGGCAGGTGATGCCCCTGAAATTATGTTTAGATAACACAGGAAAACCAATTAAAATGGAAAAAAAAAATCCAGACTGGGCACAATGGCTCATGACTGTAATTCCAACACTCTGGGAGGCCGAGGCAGGAGGATTGCTTGAGGCCAAGAGTTCTAGATCAGCCTGAACAACATAGCAAAACCCCATCTCAAAAGAAAGAGAGAGAGAGAGAAGAAAGAAAGGAAAAGAGAGAGAAAGAAAAAGAAATAAAGAAGGGAGGGAGGGAAGAAGGAAGGAAGGAAGGAAGGAGGCAAAAAGGGAAAAGAGAGAGGAAGGGAGAGAGGGAGGAGGGAAGGAAGAGAGGGAGGGAGGGATCCAACTTGGTAAGATGGTTACTTATCTGCATCGTATCAAACACCTGAGTGGACTGAAGTTTTTAAAATACAATATTGGCTCATAACCATAAAGAGCATCCTGGGGCCCAAGTCTACTTTCCAAGTTTGGCATGGACCAGCTGTGCAACTTTGGGCAGCCACTTCGATTTTATACATTATTGGAAGTAGAAGATAGCATTTCTCATTGCTTCCAACTTCTTTTTTTTTTAACAGACAAAACTGACTCTTCATCTGTAAAATAAAAAGTTTTAACTAAAGGTCTAATATCCTTCTAGATCTAACATTCCATGATTTTTATTCCTGTGAGACTGGTTTTTATTTTAAAACAATCTTTTATTTTAGGGAAAATGAAAGTCAACCCGAAGCCTGCTAACTATATTCTGAGGTTCCAACCTCAAATCAACAAATGCTAAAGATATCTCATAAGGTAGAAACCCACACATGAATAGGAACCCTTAAATTCTCTTCTTTTACTGGGAACTAATTGTTATATTAAAACATGCCGAACCCACTCTCTGCTAAATTGGTGCAATTTAAGATCTTCAACAACCTTAAAACACCTAGTTAATCTTACCCCACAATTATTCATTTATTGCCTAAATTATTGTGACTCACTAATTTACGAGAGGAAACCTATGCTCTGCAGGTCTGACATTTCTTGGCCATTTAAAAATTAATTATTTCCCATTTAGCCTTAGCTAAATATTAGCTAGCTGTTATTATTTCCTTCATATTCATCTTTTATGGATACACATTTAGTCTTAAATCTAATTCTTCTGCACATTTCAGACTCTCAGCCAATTTTCGATTTAGCTCCATTTGGGATTATTTGACTATAATTTGATTCATTTTATCTCCTCCTTTCCTTACTGATGAAGATCTTGCTGATGATGGAAAGGTCATCATCAGCACTTAACAAGTGGACAGTGAAAGGCAGAACAACCAAAGAGACAGTATATGGAAAATGGCAGGACAGGGAAAGAAAGAAATACACAGAGGGCTCAATGAATGAGCCAGCTCTTCTTCTGGTGTGTGCAAAAAACAGAGACTAGGAGGATGGGGAATGGGAGAGGAAAGATAAACAAAACTTAAGAGAGCAAAAGCCCAAACAGCTGGAAATAGATGATTCGTTTAACAGCTCTCATTTTGCGATTAGCCAAAGCTTGTCAAGGAGCTGTCCAGCCTCATACTCTCCTCTTGTCTTTTTCATTGCTGTCTTGGGGTCTCGTTTGGTAAATTTGACTATCCAAGATAACAATTTTGATTAACAAGTTGGAAATCTCCTTTCATATCGGGTAGGTGGATAAAGAGGGGAGTCCTTAAGGTGTGTAAAGATATGTGGAGATACAAGCATACCCATGAGCCTTGAACATACCAGTTTTGTGGCTGCTTTGGTGTATTTTCGCTTGTTGCTCCCTCCCCACCTTCTTCAGGTCTATGCTCAACTGTCACCTCAGTGAGAGCCTTTCTTGCTCACCCTATTAAATACTGCACCCCCTTGCCCAGACACCCCTAATCACAGAGCTTTCTATCCCCTGTCCGTGCCTTACTTTCCTCCACATCACTAATTACTAATCACTATTGATCAATTTATTTAGTTCTTTATTTACCTATTTATTTACTTCTTTGTCTTCTGTGTGGGAGATTTTTTTCTATTTTTCTGGATTTTTTTCCTCTTTTCAGTCTTACAGTTCTGATATCTAGAACAGCGAGCTTTTAATAAATACCTGTTAAATCAGTGAATTAATACAACTTGAGGAAGAAACTGCTAGGGCAAAGTGTGGAGTGTGGAAGGGTATCTCTTTTCAATTATGAAATGTGAAGTAGTTGAGTATCCCAGGTCACCCTCGCGGATGAGGTGTCTCATGGCCCCTGGAAGGGCAGTCTCCCAAGGTGAGGGTAGACTTCCAGCACATAGCTGCATTTCTAGCACATAGCTGGACTTCTAGTACATAGCTGAGTGGCTTTATCAGTTTCTGTCCACCAAAGAAGATATATTTAACTAAAACAAAGATATGTGCCTTTCCTCTTGTCCAACCATGTAGCAAATATTTCTTTCTTCTGTTTATCTGGTGGTCAGTGGCTGAACATTTTCCAGAGCATTTCAAGCTATGGTTTGTGGACTTGCAAGAAGCAGTTATAATCGTGTGTTTTTTCTAAGTTGGAAGATGTTCAAAATAGTAGCTTCTTTTAGGAAAAGGAAGAACTCAGCACATTGCATCAAGTATTAAATAATCACCCAGAAGATGCCAGAAACTCATCCTGGTATTTATGGAACTGACATTTCCTCCAAGGTCTTCAGGAAGCCACTCATTCAAGTACATGTGTTCTGTGCATTTTCTCACTTCATCAATTTCCCTGTTTCCTATTTGGATTAGAGTATCTTCATTTTACATGATGCAGCTGCATTGAGACTCAAATACAGCTGCACTATTTTGAGCTCCAGAAGTATTAATCCAGTATTCAAAACTAGAAAATAATTATTAATTCAGAGACTTGTCCAATTTTCCTCCTAGAGAATTAATCCAGGGTGTCTTGATTTAGGTAACATTAGATAGGGCACATTCTAGAGTTGCTGTATCCGACATGATACTTACGAGATACATGTTGCTACTGAACCCTAGAAATGTGACTAGTCCAGATTGATATGGGCTGCAAGTATAAATACACCCTAGATTTCCAAGACATCATTTGAAAAAAGTGAAACATCTCATTAATAATTTTATACAGTATTAATTACATGTTGAAATAATATTCACTTAATATCAAGTTAAATAAAATATCCTATAAAATTAATTTTACTTGTTTTCTTTTTACCTTTTTAAGAAGACTACTAGAATATTTAAAATTACATATGTGGCTTGAGTTAAATTTTTATTGGACAGCACTGCTATAAAGATATATGGAAATGAAACTGTTGGAAACCAAAACCATGACCCTTAATAGAAATACTGTAATAATTTAAAATTGAGTATTAAATACAAATACAGTATTAATTACAGATACAATGCACCACATAGATTATACCATTTGGTAAAATATAGGCGATTTATTTTTATGAGATTGAATTAATATGTCTGAGATTTGCTTTCTAAAATCTCTCCTCCCAGTCTCATTTTTCTGCTTTGATGCATAATAACCTATAAACTACTTTATACCCAAGCTTCAGAAATAAAAGAGGGTAAATATCTATATGATTCAAATATCATATATGTGCCATTTAAACCACAAATACTGTAGCCTCTGACTTGGGGACAGTGGATTAAATAAACTCCTGCCCAAATGTCTCAATTGTATTCTTTTTGTAAGAATATAAATAAGTTCTTAAGCCTGACAATCTCAGCATTGTTTTTGAAACACCCATTACTGTTTTCTCTTATGTAACATGTCACAGGTTCAAGAAACTTGGTATTTATATTACGTTAGCATGGTTTCAAAGTGTGTTGACACATTTAATGTTCCTAAATTGGGTAGACTCAATATGAAAAGTAAATACTTATCTAAAATGAGTAAAGGGAGACAACCTGCATAGCCAGCTGGAAAATACAGTCCATGATTTTTTTCATCAAGTTCAGATTTTAAAAATCTATTTGATGTAAATTATTAGTTCAGTTCTCTCACCAAACAAGGCAAAATACACAAGTGCTTAATAGGATCTATTTCTTTATCTGTATCATCATCAACACTAGATAATATTTAATGACTAGATCATCACAGATGCTTCACAATATAAAAGGCCCATTGAGTTCTGCACAGTACATAATAAATACTTATCAAATAAATAGAGCAGTCATTGAATATTAAGAACACTGTTCGTGGTGTGGGACAGTCATGTTTAAATCTTCATTTTATCTGACTCACTTGGCCTCAGTTACTCCAAATATAAAATGGGACTATAAGGTTTATTTTAAAGGTTCTTGATAAGGATTAAATAAGATAATATGTCTTATTTTTATTGTTATGTTGTCATCATTATTTTTATGCTGCACTAAGATGGGGCTGCTATTTTTCCATCAGTATAATACAGTGAGACATGTATATTTTTGCTTGTTTTCATGATAATAATGAATTTCCATGATTCTTCCTACCTGGTTAGTTCTCCCGTGACCAACTATATTCATTTGTGAGTTGCCTGGTTAAAGTTGGGAGTGTAATATATGTAATGTGATAATTTTGCTTTGAATAAAACACAAATATACTTTGACATCTATTCTTATAGATGAGAGGTCATAATTTTTAAAAGCAAATCTCAGACATTATCATTTTACCCCTATGTACTTTGGTACCCATCTCTAAGATGAAGGACATGGTTCTTACATGTCGTGACGGCACTATCCAACCTGAAAATTGTTCCATAATCCATTGGTATTATCTAATAACCAATCCACACTGAAATTTTCCCGATTTTTGCCCTTTGCCTTTGATAACTCAAACAGGTTTCACAAGTGATATTTAGTTGTCTCTTCTCTGCGTTCTCCTTTAATCTACAGCAGTGCTCCTTCCTACCTTTTTTAAAAATGCTATTATTGAGAAAATTGGGTCAGTTCTACAAGATGTACCACATTCTGGATTTGTCACTTCCCATAGTATCATTTAATTGTTCCTATATCCTCATATTTCTGTAAGTGAAAGTTAGCTTCAGAGAGTCCTGATTACTTAGATTCGAATTCCTCAGTTTTTGCAAGAATGTTCAATAGGCGATGCTTGATCGATCACGTTGCATCATATTAGAAGTCACACAATCACTTTTAGTTTAAGCTGCTACTTATTTCATCTAAATGGAATGTACAGAACTTATCGCCACCCTTGGTCAAATAATGCACCCATAAATAAACTACCCTTTTAAACATATAATTTTAAACATAACCACAATTCCATCATCACACCTAAAACATTAATAGTAAATTTCATGGTAGGCAAAATAATGGCCCTCCAAAGATGCCCATACCTTAATCTTTAGAACCTGTGAATATATTACCTTAAATAGCAAAAAGGGATTTACAAGATTAATTAAATTAAGGACCTTGAAATGTGGAGATTACCCTGGATTATCTGAATGGGCCCAGTTTAATCACATGGGTCTCTGAAAGTTGCAGAACTTTTCCTGGCTGCAATCAGAGGAAGATGTGGCTATAAAAGAAAAGGGCAGAAAGATATAATGTTGCTGACTTTGAAGATGGAGGAAGGGGGCTAAGAGCCCAGAAATTTTGGTGGCCTCTGGAAGTTGGAAAGGGCAAAGAAACTGATTATCCTCTTGTGCCTACAGAAAGAAATGCAGCTCTGCTACCCTAATTTGATATAACTGAGACATGTGTTGAACTTCTAATATACAGAAATATAAGATAATAAATTTGCATTATTTTAAGCCACTAAGTTTGTTATAATTTATTACAACAAAAATGACAAACTAATATAATGTTAAATATTATAAAATATATAGTTTAGTTAAAATTTCTCAACTTATACAAATTTTTATAGCTGCTTTCATTGATCCAGACAATGTATGCACAATGCTTTTAGATATAAAATGAATGATTTAAAATAATAAAATTGTAGGATACTTTTGTGGAAAGAGCTACTTCCTTTAATTTACCACCCTTGTTTTATAAAAGAGCAAACTAAGGTTTAGAGGTGAGTGACTTGGCCCTAGGAGAGTCATTTCAAAACTTAACATTACAATCACTTTAAAAAAATTCATGAAGGTCAGCAGTGGATTCTGGGAAAGTAGTGACTTTAACTTGGCTTTCTTGCCCTTTATTACTGTAATTTATCTGATTTTCCTAAGGCAAAGAGGAGTTGGTTCCTATATGCAGCTGAGTCCTGGTGAAGCCTTGAGCTTTATGCAAACCCTACAGAAATAACAGATAGTGAGCTTTCTCTACAATGAGTAGCATGAGCCTCTAGATACCAGTTTCAAACAAGTCTTTAGATGGAGACTGGAAAGCTATGAATCCTGAAAAGTGGTTTGGGTTGTGGAAATCTGTGGACGTTGGTGGTAGGAAGGTGGTAGTAGTTGACATTAGCCTGCATGAGTGAATTTGATTCTTTGGTTACTGGGTAAGGGACCTATCTCCTCCAGGTACCTGAAGGGTAGCCCACCTGCTTCTCCATCACTGGCCTATCTTCTGCCACTCAGAGGACTGCTATCACAGAAGGTAGTCCAACAAACAGTCTTAAACTCCAAAAAGCTGACAAAGAAAGATAAAAGCACATCAAGACTTTTCAGCAGCCTGAGGGAGGAAGACTGGTCAGAATAAACAGAGCACACACCCAGGAAATAAATTCCTGAAATAGTCAGAATATAATTTGAACAACCTTATAAGAAATCTTATAAAAAGAACTCAGCAACGTTAGTTGCACATGGTCAGAAATTCTGTTCAACAATATATTCCCAATGCCTAGAATATAAGCTGTCTCAGAGGAGACTATCAGTAAATATTTGTCAGATAAATAAATCCATCAAAAGAATAATAATGCTAGTTAGGCAGAATATACCATGAAAGTGAGAGTGGTACAATATCATGGAACCCATTAACATAACCTGTTACATCGATACATTATAAGAGAATAAAATATATAATCATATCTGTGAGGAAAAGACATTTAATAATATGCGGCAGCGTTACTAATAAAAATTCTAAGTAAAAAAAAACTGTTTAAATATAATTCAAAGTATTTACCAAAATCTAATACCAAATATTATTCTAAATGAAAACTTGAAACTGGATAATTCAAGAAGGTTTTATTTATAGAGGACTTGTTGCAAAGTTTATTTGTAGAAGAACTACAAAGAATAGTGCAGGCATCTGGAGCTTGGGAGTAGCCAAACAGTTATCACTCTTAGGTTCAAAGCAACAAGAGGAGAGAGTGGTCATTAGAATTCAGTGGGAGAAAGCTTGTGGAATATGTCACCTGGTGGAGAGCGATAACCTGTTCAGGGACACTTTTAGTTCAAGGTAGCATTTCAGGGGGAAAATGTCAGGGAATAAATACCTAAGTCTTCCTTTCTGCCCCTCCTCTGATATCTTCTGGGGCTTCTCATTGGCCAAATCCAATGAGAAGCTAGAGGGCATGGGAACTTATTGATGTAGTTCACGTGGTCAGTGTCCCAAAGCAGAGAATGTGTAAAGGGAAAAATAGAAGATACTGGCATAGAAGTTCTAGCAAATTCGGTAAGAAAATGAAAGAAAATAAAACATCACATAAAAGTAGAAATTAGGAAATAAAGCTGCCATTTTTGTTGATGTTACTCTATTCTAAAAAACTATTAGAATTAAAAACGAAATTTTGTGAGGTGCCCGAGTATAAGATAAATATACAAAATCCAATAGCATTTAAAAAATTTAGCAGCAAGTTTCTAGAAATAAAATTCAATATCTATAAAACTTACAACTATTTGATACTAATTTTAATAAAGAATAAAGGTATAATATTTTAAGGGATATAAAATGTAAAACAAGATATGAACAAATGAAAAGTCATGCTCTAGAATGGGAAGATTTAATTATGGACATACTTTATCTTTTTCTTCCTCCTAGATTTTTTTCATGGAGTACTTTTTAAACAATGAAAAACTTTAGCAAACTATATAATCCCTGTTACTTTTCATAAACCTTCCAGCAGTTTCTAAATTTTTCATTCTATTTGAATACATCATTCAAAAATGTTTTTAATGTCAGTTTATGTGTGACATTCTTTCCAAAGCCTTGTATGCCTGAAAAATTTTAATTATACCCTCATATTCAATAGCAATTTGTTTAGACATAAAAGTATAGATTCAAAGTTATTTTCTTTTTTATTCTCTCAAATATTTATTTCTCTTCATTTTTATTTTAATCTAGTGGTACTCGTATTATCTATATGTTGCACCTCTATTTTTATCTCTCATGTCTCCTAACATTTTAAAATTGTACTTTTATCTCTTCAATCTGTCTTGCTTCCTGCTGGAGGAGTTCCTCAATCAGGTTTCCCATTATCTAAATTATTTCTTCAGTTGTATCCATTATCCTATTTATTCCATCTGTTATAATTTTTTTCTGCTATGTTTTTCATACCTGATATTTCCTTTTATTTAATTTTCTTCTGTCTCTTTAAGTGTATTTAGTATACTTATTGAAAATGTTTTATGTATCTATTCTAATACTTCCGTTTTTTGTTTGTTGATTTTCTCTAAGTTGTCATAACCCTCAGGTGTCTAGCTATTTTTCACTTTTGCTCATGTTCCTTTAGGAGTATCAACTATTGAATTGGCAATACGTATTGGAGAAGGGCCTCAAAACTACAGTTATCATTTTCATTTGCCGTCATCCCACTAACCCAGGGTAGTGATGTTAAGCCTCAGAACACATTAACTGTGGAGACATTTTTTGCTAGTTACAGCTGGGGGAATGCACTACTGGCATTGGACGGGTAGAGGGCAGGGATGCTGCTAAACTTTGAAAACGCACTAGACGGCCCCCAACTGCAGGTAATTGTCTGGTCTAAAATATCAATAGTGCCAAGGTTGAGAAACCCTGCCTAGCCAACTTCTCAGGTTGGGGTTTAGGCCCTAAGGGAGAAGCAACATTGATAATCCATCAGCCTAGGATTTGTAGGGAAAGAGAATGCCTAAGGCTGCTCAGTCTCTACCTGTTCTTATCAACTCCTTACCTCACAAAACCTTTTGCACTGATCCTGACATTTCCCCCATGAACACCTGCCCCAGTGTTTAGCCAGTTGTGCATGCTTTGTGTGGCAAGGAGCTAAGCAATGATTACTCCATGGAAATGCAAGTAAGCCAAATGGCAGAGCTTAAACAGTTTTTGTTTGTTTGTTTGTTTGTTTTCCTAATTTGCTTTTTTTTACTGCTGTGTGTAGCCGCCCATTGCCAGATTTGCTGCACTCTTCCCACCCCCCTCACCTCTTTCCCACCCCTCTCACCTCTTTCCCACACACATCAATCCAAAACAGTGCTCCTTCTCCCTGGGGATTTCTCATGGCTTTTGTTGTTATTAGTTTCAATTCCACTTTTCTCTATATACTTTCTTCATCATTGACTTTGTGGAGGAAAGCAGTAGCCGATGCTATTATAGTTCACCATCTTGGTGATGAGAAGAAAGCTTTCATGAAAATTCTACTTTCCTCCAATTCATACAAAAATTTAAGGTAATTTCAATGAAAACTTACCACTTTAAACATTGAAACTGGATAAAATTATCTTAAAGCTTATAAAGTGGAATAAAACCATGAGGTAACCTACCTAATCAGATGTAAGAATATACTACAATGCCATTATAATCAAATCAGTGTGGTATTGGCCTAGGAAGCACAAGACCAGTAAAAAATAATAGATGATCCAGACACAGATTTCATTGAAAAATGATAATCTGACAGAGGTGGTCTTTCAATTCAATGGGGAAATGATGGTTTATTTAACAAATGGTACTAGCACAATTCACTGGCTATCCATTTAGATTATAAAATTGAACACATATAACCATTTACAAAAATATATTTAGAAGAATTAAAATGTAAATAATGAAATTTTAAAAAACTACTGCAAGAAAATCTATAAATCTATATCTATAGATTAAGGATATAGAGACTCTTCTTAACAAAGAATGGAAAACCAGAATCCATAAATATAGATATATTTGAAGATATAAAAAGAAAATACATTTAAGTGGAAAAGACACCATAAACAGTCAATAGATAGGCAACACACTGGGGAAAAATTATTAAAATACGAAGGACAGAATATTACTATTTTTAATACACAAAGAACACTTTAAAATGACAATCTGGAAGTAAGTAACGGAAACACTGACAAAGACTATGAAGAGGCAGGCTGGGCGCGGTGGCTCATGCCTGTAATCCCAGCACTTTGGGAGGCTGAGGCGGGTGGATCACGAGGTCAGGAGATCCAGACCATCCTGGCTAACACGGTGAAACCCCGTCTCTACTAAAAATACAAAACATTAGCTGGGCATGGTGGCAGGCGCCTGTAGTCCCAGCTACTTGGGAAGCTGAGGCATGAGAATGACACGAACCAGGGGGGCAGAGCTTGCAGTGAGCCGAGATTGTGCCACTGCACTCCAGCCTGGGCGACAGAGCGAGACTCTGTCTCAAAAAAAAAAAAAAAAAAAAAGACTCTGAAGAGGCAATTCATAGACACACAAATCCACTTGTTCCACAAATGTAAAAAGTTATTCAAACTTCCAAGAAGTCATGGAAATGTAAATTAAAGTAACAGCATATCATTTTACCCCTAACAGTTTGGCAACAATTATAATACCAAGTAACAGTCATTGCTGGCAGGGTTGCAGGAAAGAGTGGACTTTTACACATTTCTAGAGAACATTTAAATCATTAACAGACTTCTGGAAAGTAATTTGGCAAAGCTATTATACCTTAAAATATACAGCCCCTTTTGACCCAGCAATCTGACTCCTGGGAGGCTATCTCACACAAGTAAAACCACCAGTTCTTAAGGATATATGAACAAGAATGTGTACTGCAACATTTTTAAGATGATAGATTGTAGGACATCTACACAATATTGTATGTCTATTAAAAAAATAAATTAGTGCCCTTCCAGTTAACTTGAGAGTTTTCCAGCAGGCATTGTTGACTATTAAAGTAAATGCAAAAATGTATATAAAAATATGATTCACATTTTTAAAAGCAGTGGTGACCCCTATAAATTTATGTGTAGATAACCCCCATGCATATCTGTGTGTAACTTTTATATTGAAAAGTGGGACTTGTGAGGTATAGGCACAGAAAGTGCTTTTTTTTCTTCCAGTCTCCCCTTAAAATATTGTGTGGGACTACTACTTTCCGACTTGCTGGATAAAAATATTTGGTTTGTGAGTTGTAATCACAGACTCAACTCAGCAATGAACATGTGCAGTCCCATGTAATAATGGCAAAGCGAGAGTCAAACAGTAATCCACTGTGTCCCCAAACTCCATGTGTGTCATCTTAAGCTGTCTGATGGTCTAGGGAAGTCTCTTTTTACAGGCTTGAGATGTGCAAACAACCCTCCCCATGTGGGAGTTCAGATTTACAACTCACAAGTAGTAAAAGAACTCCCTTCACAGATCTTAACCTCTAGTCTAGGATCTTTCACATTCTTAAATGGCAGAGAGGTTCAATGGAGTCATGTAACTGGTTTTCAGACACGTGCTGGGTTTTTTTGTTTTGTTTTGTTTGTTTTTGTTTGTTTGTTTGTTTGAGAAGGAGTCTCACTCTGTCCCCAGGCTGGAGTGCAGTGGCGTGATCTCGGCTCACTGCAACTTCCGCCTCCTGGGTTCAAGCGATTCTCCTGCCTCAGCCTCCCGAGTAGCTGTAACTACAGACACACGCCGCCACGCCCAGCTAATTTTTGTATTTTTGGTAGGGACAGGGTTTCACCATGTTGAGCAGGATGGTGTCGCTCTCCTGACCTCATGATCCGCCCTCCTCAGCCTCCCAAATTACTGGGATTACAGGCATGAGCCACCACACCCAGCTGCTTTTAAGATTGTACATCTCACTACATAACATGTGTTTTTGTTTGTTTTGTTTGTTTGTTTGTTTTTGCTTTGTTTCTCATTTTAAACATCTAATTTAACATTGTTACAAGTGTGTGTGTAATTGTTATAATGAGAATTTTAGTATAAAGAGAAATTGGTAGGACATATACTAGGTCAGGTGTCCCCAGCCTCCCGGGCCACAGACGGGTACAGGTCTGTGGCTTGTTAGGAACCAAGCTGCACAGCAGGAGGTGAGTGGCAGGCCAGCCAGCATAACCACCTGGGCTTTACCTCCTGTCAGATCAGCGGCAGCATTAGATTGTCATAGAAGTGTGAACCCTATTGTGAACTGCGCATGCGAGGGATCTAGGTTGTGTGCTCCTCATGAGAATCTAATGCCTGATGAGCTGAGGTGGAAGTTTCATTCCGAAACCATCCCCACCTCGCCCTCCTCCCCATCCCCCACGAGAAACCTGTCCCTGGTGCCAAAAACATTGAGGACCTCTGTACTGCGTTGTAAAATTGGGTTACTTGGGGAGAGAGGAGATATGAGTTTAAGAGAGGAAGAGGTGGAAAAAAGAGAGACATACCAAAAAGGAAAAGAAAAAAGACTATTAAAGCAAACGACTAAACAAAGAGTATGCATATTATGATCATATTTATGGATTTATGTGGAAACACATCTGTACACTTGAAAACTTCAAAATTTCATAAAAATGAGAAAATAACCAATCATTTTTATATGATATTAGTAAATCACTCTGAAGTATAATGAGAAAATCTTAAAGGAAAATCTTCAAACTCAGTATGATATTGTGTCTGCCGTGAAGTGAAAAAAGAAATGAAAATCAATGACTTCTCATATTACATGTAAGTCACACATCTCTGCTTGCTCCAGTAGCTAAAGTGTGCTAAGAATCCCAAGTGCTTGATGAAGCCCTGAGCCCTCGTTGTTGGCTTTCATAAGGAGACTACTACTGGCTCATGTTAATTGAATTTAGAAAATTTACTGTGGATTATCCTGTCTGGTGCCTAAATTAAATGCATGGATGATAATTCATTTACTGAAATTAGAAGCCAGGAGGAATATAGATACAAAGTCAAAGTCTCTGTTTAGCTAATGTTTTGCCCAACCAGCCTGCACTTGACAAGTGTCATAGCACTATGCTATTTTTATTATTGGGAGTTAGGAGACCTCAGGTCTAGTTCAATCCCTGTTACTATGCACAAGGCATATTTCTGATGTGCAGGGAAAATTCAAGGTGGCCACTTAAGCTTTCTAGGCCTTATTTGCCTAATATATTCCTAGAGGAATTAGATGATTTTTAAGATTACTTCTTGCTCTATATTAGTAGGTTCTCCAATGTGAGTGAACGTAAAACTCACTTGGAGAGTCTGAAAGTACTAATTAGGGGGTTCTGCCTCCTGAAATTCTGATTCCGTAGGTCCAGGGTCAAGTCCAACACCCCATTTCTAACAAGTGTCTCGTTGATGCTAGTAGCACTAGTCCACAGCCCCGATGAATATAAAAACTGAATGAAATATTTGCTTTTCTGAGTAAATGTCAAGAATTATTGAGATGAAGGAGGCTTGGAACTGATATTTTTAATCTGAAATAGATATCATTTATTGCACTGGTAGAACCTGTATGTAATTTCAAGGGTGCACATCTTACCTTTTATTATAATTATAATAAACTTCCCTTATCATATAGTTCCTCCTCAGAGAATGTGAACTGCAGGAGTCCTAGTTCCCAGTAGAAAGTGCTGTTAGAAAACCTCTGAGATTTCTACCTCTGGGAGTAGTATCCTCTTGAGATGCCACCAGCTCTGATGTCTCTTGTTTGTCTCCCTTGCCCAAATAAGCTTTCCTAGCATGTACTACCTAAAATCACGGCTAGGTGTCGCTCTAATTCTGGGGCGCACCGGTTTCAAGGGGAAGTGTGAACCAGGGCGCTGGCACTGCTCGTGTGTTTATGGGTGAAAGCATCTAAGAGAGGCCCTGTGAAATTGCCTGCATAAAAGGATCACAGTTAGGGATGTCTCATAAACTAATCCCAAGAGGAGCCTTCCACTAAAAATAAAATAAGCACGTAATAAGGGTAGAAAAATTTCCTAAAAATGAGGTTGGGATTGGTGGTCAGAGCGTCCTGGATATCAAAAGTGTCAGTTCATTAAGGCAAGATTAGTGTCATGGGTGAATGGAGCATCACAGTTTAATGCTTTAACTTATTGGAACCTCACTTTCCACTTCCTTAAAATAGAGACTATCAAAACAAAACAAAACAGAAAGTACCTTCCATTTCTTCAAAGAATTTTTGTCAGATCAAATGAAGAGCTGTATGGAAAATTATGTGTAAATTGCTAAGTGTTTTAAAACACATTTTTATTAGCAGTGAATTCTTCTCAGGCACTTTATTGGATTTTTAGATAACACTATCATGATATTCCTATTTATTCCTGAACATAAAATTTCCAGATACCATTTTCTTCCTACATGACCATAATTAAAGAATTTGTTTTCTTATGTTTTCATTACTTGTCCATCCACTTCCACGGTAAATCTCAAATGTAAAGAGACTAAAAAGAAAAAATTAATAAAATTATATTTATCCTCATGTGGAATTTCTGCTTTTTGTAATAGCTACTATACACTTAAATATTTAAAATTTAGAATATTTTCTCCATGTTTCCAGATGCTGCCCCCCTAGACATATTGAACATTAGGAAATGTTGTCAGAAAGTCTTTTCTACTAGTCTCTGTTTTGGATTATCTAGATCATAGTTCCTCTGATAGAATAATCAATATTATTAATATTATTAATTAACAATATAATTAATAAGTATGGTCTTGCTGGCCTTTTATGCCCTGCCCTCCCACCCTTCCCTACTCCATCCTACCCCAACCATAAATTATAAAGCCAAATACAGATTTGTATTTGGATTGGTATTTCACTGATATTTCAAACCAGTTCCACTCCTTCTCTAATTAAATGTGCATTTTCTTTGTGATTTGACTGCCAGTCTACACCCTAAGTCACCATCTATACCTTATTGCAGGTAATTCGTGTCGACAATCATCACTAACCATAGCCATCCTCTCACTGAGTGCATGGACACAGAATATGCCTTCTCGTCCAGCTTCTCATCCTGCAGGGCTCCTATGGGTGGGGTTTTCCCTGTATGAATTCTCCAACTTGGCAAAATGATGATTACTGTCCCCTCGCCATAATCAGATAGAAGCACTGGAGAAATGTATAGCATTGAGTTTTCATCTTTTCTATTATTAACACTTTGAGGAAATAAGAGTCTTCCAAAATGAAAGGCATTTCTATACACTGTACTTGCAAGTCATTATTTTCATTTAACATTTAAGTAGTAGGAATAAAAGCCACCTTTATCCTTTAAAGTTTGCTGTAGTGTAACTATTGCAGAGGCACATGAACTATCTTACCTTTGATGGTGTTGATAATCTGAAGCCCCTTTCTATTTGGGGTTACTATGGTTACGGCTGCTCAGGTGATGTGTGAGCTGCACTGCTGTTTTGATAAAAATAGGTATTAACTACCAGTCATAGTGCTTTTCATTTCATAGCAGTTCTTGTAGAAGCACAGCATATTTTTTAAAGGTTGGGGGGAGAAATGCCTTTTCAAAGACTTATGTGGGAACATCTGCATAAATAATGGTGATTGGTCATGTGTATAAAAATATTTTTAATTAAATTCATTTTAATTAAACAGGGCATTTTGCTGAATCCTTCTCTGTTATTTGCACCAAGCTTAGCCTTGAGGAAGATGGCTGATTAACAGACCCAAGAACCTATAATTAAAAGCAGGACTGTTATTTTTGGAGAAAAGCCTCTTCAGTAAGGATGACTTAATTGGGCTGTCTCTCATATTTTTCATTCATCGTGGAACTCCAGGTTTAAATATTTAATTTTTCTAACACCGGAGAAAGATTACTCACATTGGCATAATCAGAAAAGTTTTTATTTTTCAGTTTTGTTTTCCTTCAGTTTCTCTGATCATGCTCTCTAATCACTGTTGTGTTTCAATATTTAATTGTGTTCTTCATTGATTTCTTTTGTTTGGATCACATCTTTTTAAAATCATGGATATTGTTCTTTTTCACCTTCTGGCCCTCTCTGCCTCTGCATTTAGTTTTAGCCTATATTACACTTGTGGTTTCTCATCACTGGTGTTATCAATATTCTACACAAGAATTCAAGAGAAAACGGAATAATTTTCTATTCACAGACAAAAAAAAAATTTAAGATGTAATTGACAAAGTAGTTCCTTCAGTACCAGGGCTGGCTTAGAGAACAAAGACAACATTCATTTAATATCGGCTAAGCAGGAAGAGATCAAGATGGTTTTATGCCATATTATAAACAGCAAAAAATGCTCTCATATAGTATAAAGTTTGTGTTCCTGAATTATTTGCTCTGTCATCTATAAAGAAAGTTGGATGACTCTACTTTTAGCATCTAATATTTGGTAGAGAAAGATTGCATTGGTATTGCTGTGAGAGAACAGAAGCAGTAAGAGATATTCATATGTTTTCATTGAATTCCAAGGGGGGAGAAATTACACCTCAGAGGGAGTCAGAGGATGTTAGACCAGAGTACCTCCCACTGAAGCCAGCAGGCTTCTAGAGAGCACAGACGTATCAGCCATTTTTACTATGCAATCTGCATTTCAAACCTGCACACAGTGTCATTTAACAGTACTTGGCTGTATTTTCTGTGTCTTTACAATTCAGTGTTAAGCACAATGGAATAGCATCAGTTTAAAACCCTCTACATAAACCTATGTCTGTAAAACTCCATCATATAAACCTCAATTCTATTCTTGAGCAAATTTACTCAGAAATAAAAATAACAGCTTTGATTTATATTGTTTGACTCTTTCAAAGAGCTCAAAGAGCTTCTACAGACAGTATTTCAGTTATTTTCACATTGTGTTCTTGGGTAGAGAAGACCCATTTCTTAGGTGAAATAATTGAGGTGCAGCAAATTTTAAGATTATCTCAAGGTTTCACGGCAAGTTAATGAAATATAGGTATGGAAGCTAGGAATTCTGTTTCCTTAGATTTCTAGACTGTGTTTTTGCTAGATACTAAACACTAACATCTATCTGAAAAAAAAACTGACTTTTGCTAACTTGCAGCCAGCTTAAAATTATTGAAGCAATGGCTGTACTTGAATCAATATGTAGAAGCAACCCAAAGCCACGGATTGGCAGCAAATTAAAAGCTCCATCTGAATACGTCTACTAGAGAGTATGTTATCTAGTGATAGCAGCCATTAACTAAATGTGTACAAATATATCATCTAATTTGATCATCACCACAGCCGATCAATTATCTCCATTCCAAGCAACAGAGGTTCTAAAAACTTAAGTGGTACATTTACAAGGCTCGTAAGTGGCAGAGATGGGAGACAAATCAGGTCCAATATTCTTTGTCCTACACCATTGCTGTTTCTCAAAATAGAACAGTGATGTGCCAATCAAGCTTTGGAAGAAAATGAAATCCAAGAGTCAAGAGTCAAGTTCCCACTTTATAATTGATTTTATTTAACAAACATTTGTTCATTGCCTGCTATGTCATAGGCACTGTAGGAGCTACTGAGGGAAGGGATAATAAACCAGACACAGGTTCTGCTCTCAGCATGCTCCCAGTCTAAAGAGGGAGGTAGATACGACAACTGGCAGTAGTCTAAAAGACAAGACAGAGGTAATCCAGGCAGCTTTGTAAACACAGAGTACCACCTGGTGGGGAGAAGGCTCTGAGAAAGCTTAAGGTCTCCTGTACCTCAAGCCAATATTTTGCCCAGATGAAGAAGATAACAGCTCAGCTGGAAGAACCATGAGCCATGTTTCTCTCCAGGGCCACAGACGACGTCACCTGCAGAACATTAGCAAGGTCTCCCTGGGCTCAGATACTCTTTGGAGTGTCCTGTCTTGGTAACCCTTAGAGTCACAGTCAAAACAAGGGCATATGCATTTGAAATTATGACAGCCCTCCCCTCATTCATGCAGAGAAGTGTTAAACTCATGATCACTTTTCTTGACATTGTTCTGCCCATTGCACATGCTGCTCTGTAACCCTGCAAAGCACACCCTTGATCCCAGCACTGCATCAGGGCTCCATCCGCATGATTTGGAAAATATACACATTCCACATCTGGAGACTACAGTTTGGAGTTTGGAGTGAGACCCATAGAAATTTAGATGTGGAAGGCCCTTAAAGACAATCTTGCTCAACATCCTCATTTTTAGATGAAGACCCTAAGACTCAGAAAGACAAAGTAAATGGACACAGAATAGGAACTGTTCTTTCCAAATACAGAAGTTCAAGGGAGTAATTTGTGAGAAAGGAAGAGAGATAGAGAAGAGTTTTTAACATTTCTCTGCTTGATAATATCTACTTTTTCTCATTTGAAGTTATTTTTAAGTGTTAAAGGAAAACAAGTAGAAACTGTCATTCCATTTTATACTGGACTGACCCACTAATAGTTTTGATGGCATGAACAATAACAATACAGTAACCACCACTGATGAAGCACTTACAATATGCCAAACATTTTGCATAAATAACTCCAATTAATTATTCTCCAAAAACCTGAAGAAGGGATTATTTTATCCCCATTTTACCAAGGAAGCTTACTTGAAGCTTAATGAGGTTAAGTAGCCTGCTCAAGATCACCAAGTTCATTTGCATAACAGCTGGGGTCTGATCAGAACACAGGTTGGTTTGACATCACAGTCAAGTTTCCAACCACTGTTTTCTACTTTAGTACAGAGTTGTAAATAGCAAGGTCTTGGCACAAAGGTCTTGCTTCAGAAGTTGGAAGCTAGTTATGGAAAGTCACCTCCAGAACAGAATTGGACACAATAATAGATAACAACCAACTATATAAATGCTTCAGGATGTTGAAAGTGGATCAAGCAAGGCTCCAGGTGTTCTGAAGATGAAATTTCGAGAACATACTGAAAACCGTTTGAAGCAGTTCAACAGCTCCATGGACAGCTGGGAAACAGCTGTGGTTGACAGACCTCTCTGGCTCACTGCTTTGGGGAACAGAATGTCTCCGTTTAAATGAAAGCAGTTTATTCTCAGTAATGCTCAAAGACGTATAGGATGGAAGTTTTGAAAGTCAGTGTCCAGCCCACACATTCCATTTATGTGTTAAAGAAGACATTGTACATTGAGACAAATTGGATTCAGTAATTCTTAGAGAGTATTTCCTTGCTGTCTGGTTCTTTTTAGGACTCAGCCAAGTTGATGAGGTCAAAACCATGGAAGAGTGAGGCAACTAGGGAGTAAAATTTAAGAAGGCACTCACTCTCTGGATTATGTAAATGCAGGATCAGCAGTTGTACAACCCTAAAAGGGAGTGCTTTCTTAAGAGAAAGGTACCTAGGATGGGAGAGCAGCCACTAGTCTCAGACTGGGATTTGGTCCTCTTGTTCCATAAAGACTCACAGGTGCCTCTTGGGCAGGATTTCTTGAAAAGCGGCCAAGAAAGGACAAGAATTGACCTTTTGTCTGGGTGCTACAGACAAGGAATTGTGTTGTTCAATTTATTATTTTGCACTGAAATGGAGAAAGCTTTTTGAAACAAGTTCTGTCAGGTCAGTGAGTGGGCAAAGAAGTTCCTGATTACGAGGGCAGAATACAGGAGAAAAGGAGCTGTTCTGATCCTCGAGGAGCTAACCACATGGTGGGTGACCTTCAGAGATTCATTCACTTGTTAATTCATTTATTCAGTAAACAGAATTAATTGCCTATTGCTTTCCAGAAACTATCAAAAGCATTGACAAATGCGCAGATGAACAAACTAATACCAGTGATAATCAACTTTTTAGCCAAAAAGTTCTATTCAAAAAAGGAAGTGAAAGTGTTTATAGGCTATTTATTGGGAGGTGGTTTTTTAAAATGCTACTTTCTTTTTTTATTTTTACTTTTTTTGTTATTATACTTTAAGTTCCAGTACATGTGCACAACGTGCAGGATTGTTAAATATGTATACATGCGCCATGTTGGTGTGCTGCACCCATTAACTCGTCATTTACATTAGGTATATCTCCTAATGCTATCCCTCCCCCCTCCCCCCACCCCACGACAGGCCCCAGGGTGTGATGTTCCCCACCCTGTGTCCAAGTGTTCTCATTGTTTAGTTCCCACCTACGAGTGAGAGCATGCGGTGTTTGGTTTTCTGTCCTTGTGATAGTTTGCTGAGAATGATGGTTTCCAGCTTCATCCATGTCCCTACAAAGGACATGAACTCATCCTTTTTTATGGCTCCATAGAATTCCATGGTGTATATGTGCCACATTTCCTTAATCTAGTCTATCATTGATGGACATTTGGGTTGGTTCCAAGTCTGCGATTGTGAATAGTGCCACAATAAACATACGTGTGCATGTGTCTTTATGGCAGCATGATTTATAATCCTTTGGGTATATACCCAGTAATGGGATTGCTGGGTCAAATGGTATTTCTGGTTCTAGATCCTTGAGGAATCGCTACATTGTCTTCCACAATGGTTGAACTAGTTTACACTCCCACCAACAGTGTAAGAGTGTTCCTATTTCTCCACATCCTCTCCGGCATCTGTTGTTTGCTGACTTTTTAATGATCGCCATAATAACTGGCATGAGATGTTCTCTCATTGTGGTTTTGATTTACATTTCTCTGATGGCCAGTGATGATGAACATTTTTTCATGTGTCTTTTGGCTGCATAAATGTCTTCTTTTGAGAAGTGTCTGTTCATATCATTCACCCACTTTTTCATGGGGTTGTTTGATTTTTTTCTTGTAAATTTGTTTAAGTTCTTTGTAGATTCTGGATATTAGCCCTTTGTCAGATGGGTAGATTGCAAAAATTTTCTCCCATTCTGTAGGTTGCCTGCTCACTCTGATGGTAGTTTCTTTTGCTGTGCAAAAGCTCTTTAGTTTAATTAGATCCCATTTGTCAATTTTGGCTTTTGTTGCCATTGCTTTTGGTGTTTTAGACATGAAGTCCTTGCCCATGCCTATGTCCTGAATGGTATTGCCTAGGTTTTCTTCGAGGGTTTTTATGGTTTTAAGTCTAACATTTAAGTCTTTAATCCATCTTGAATTAATTTTTGTATAAGGTGTAAGGAAGGGATCCAGTTTCAGCTTTCTACATATGGCTAGCCAGTTTTCCCAGCACCTTTTATTAAATAGGGAATCCTTTCCCCATTTCTTTTTTGGTCAGGTTTGTCAAAGATCAGATGGTTGTAGATGTGTGGTATTATTTCTGAGGGCTCTGTTCTGTTCCATTGGTCTATATCTCTGTTTTGGTACCAGTACCATGCTGTTTTAGTTACTGTAGCCTTGCAGTATAGTTTGAAGTCAGGTAGCATGATGCCTCCAGCTTTGTTCTTTTGGCTTAGGATTGTCTTGGCAATGCAGGCTCTTTTTTGGTTCCATATGAACTTTAAAGTAGTTTTTTCCAATTCTGTGAAGAAAGTCATTGGTAGCTTGATGGGGATGGCATTGAATCTGTAAATTACCTTGGGCAGTATGGCCATTTTCATGATATTGATGATTCCTATTCGTGAGCATGGAATGTTCTTCCATTTGTTTGTGTCCTCTTTTATTTTGTTGAGCAGTGTTTTGTATTTCTCCTTGAAGAGGTCCTTCACATCCCTTGTAAGTTGGATTCCTAGGTATTTTATTGTCTTTGAAGCAGTTGTGAATGGGAGTTCACTCATGCTTTGGCTCTCTGTCTGTTACTGGTGTATAAGAATGCTTGTGATTTTTGCACATTGATTTTGTATCCTGAGACTTTGCTGAAGTTGCTTATCAGCTTAAGGAGATTTTATGCTGAGACTATGGGGTTTTCTAAATATACAATCATGTCATCTGCAAACAGGGACAATTTGATTTCCTCTTTTCCTAATTGAATACCCTTTATTTCTTTCTCCTGTCTGATTGCCTTTGCCAGAACGTCCAACACTATGTTGAATAGGAGTGGTGAGAGAGGGCATCCCTGTCTTGTGTCAGTTTTCAGAGGGAATGCTTCCAGTTTTTGCCGATTCAGTATGATATTGGCTGTGGGTTTGTCATACATAGCTCTTATTATTTTGAGATATGTCCCATCAATACCTAGTTTATTGAGAGTTTTTAGCATGAAGGGCTGTTGAATTTTTTCAAAGGCTTTTTCTGCATCTATTGAGATAATCATGTGGTTTTTGTCTTTGGTTCTGTTTATATGATGGATTACATTTATTGCTTTGCATATGTTGGACCAGCCTTGCATCCCAGGGATGAAGCTGACTTGATCGTGGTGGATAAGCTTTTTGATGTGCTGCTGGATTCAGTTTGACAGTATTTCATTGAGGATTTTTGCATCAATGTTCATCAGGGATATTGGTCTAAAAGTCTCTTTTTTTGTAGTCGTGTCTCTGCCAAGCTTCAGTATCAGGATGATGCTGGCCTCATAAAATGAGTTAGGAAGGATTCCGTCTTTTTCTATTGATTGCAATAGTTTCAGAAGGAATGGTGCCAGCTCCTCTTTGTACCTCTGGTAGAATTCGTCTGTGAATCCATCTGGTCCCGGACTTTTTTGGTTGGTAGGCTATTAATTATTGCCTCAATTTTAGAGCCTGTTATTGGTCTATTCATGGATTCAACTTCTTCCTGGTTTAGTCTTGAGAGAGTGTATGTGTCCAGGAATTTATCCATTTCTTCTAAATTTTCTAGTTTATTTGCACAGAAGTATTTATAGTATTGTCTGATGGTAGTTTGTATTTCTGTGGGATTGGTGGTGATATCCCCTTTATCATTTTTTATTGTGTCTATTTGATTCTTCTCTTTTCTTCTTTATTAGTCTTGCTAGTGATCTATCAATTTTGTTGATCTTTTCAAAAAAAACTAGCTCCTGGATTCATTGATTTTTTGAAGGGTTTTTTGTGTCTCTATCTCCTTCAGTTCTGCTCTGATTTTATTTATTGCCTTCTGCTAGCTTTTGAGTATGCTTGCTCTTGCTTCTCTAGTTCTTTTAATTGTGATGTTAGGGTGTCAATTTTAGATCTTTCCTGCTTTCTCTTGTGGGCATTTAGTGCTATAAATTTCCTTCTACACACTGCTTTAAATGTGTCCCAGAGATTCTGGTATGTTGTGTCTTTGTTCTCATTCATTTCAAAGAACATCTTTATTTCTGCCTTCATTTCTTTATTTACCCCATAGTCATTCAGGAGCAGATTGTTTAGTTTCCATGTAGTTGAGCGGTTTTGAGTGAGTTTCTTAATCCTGAGTTCTAATTTGATTGCACTATGGTCTAAGAAACAGTTTGTTATAATTTCTGTTCTTTTACATTTGCTGAGGAGTGCTTTACTTCCACCTATGTGGTCAATTTTGGAATAAGTGTGATGTGGTGCTGAGAAGAATGTATATTCTGTTGATTTGGGGTGGAGAGTTCTGTAGATGTCTATTAGGTCCACTTGGTGCAGAGCTGAGTTCAAGTCCTGGATATCCTTGTTAACTTTCTGTCTTGTTCATCTGTCTAATGTTAACAGTGGGGTATTAAAGTCTCCCATTATTATTGTGTGGGAGTCTAAGTCTCTTTGTATGTCTCTAAGGACTTGCTTTATGAAGCTGGGTGCCCCTGTATTGGGTGCATATATGTTTAGGATAGTTAGCTCTTCTTCTTGAATTGATCCCTTTACAATTACATAATGGCCTTCTTTGTCTCTTTTGATCTTTGTTGGTTTAAAGTCTGTTTTATCAGAGACTAGGATTGCAACCCCTGCTTTGTTTTGTTTTGTTTTCCATTTGCTTGGTAGATCTTCCTCCATCCCTTTATTTTGAGCCTATGTGTGTCTCTGCACATGAGATGGGTCTCCTGAATACAGCACACTGATGGGTCTTGACTCTTTATCCAATTTGCCAGTCTGTGTCTTTTAATTGGAGCATTTAGCCCATTTACATTTCAGGTTAATATTGTTATGTGTGAATTTGGTCCTGTCAGTATGATGTTAGCTGGTTATTTTGCCCATTAGTTGATGCAGTTTCTTCCTAGCATCGATGGTCTTTACAATTTGGCATGTTTTTGCAGTGGCTGGTACCGGTTGTTCCTTTCCATGTTTACTGCTTCCTTTAGGAGTTTTGCAAGGCAGGCTTGGTGGTGACAAAACCTCTCAGCATTTGCTTGTCTGGAAAGGATTTTATTTCTCCTTCACTTATGAAGCTTGGTGTGGCTGGATATGAGATTCTGGGTTGAAAATTCTTTTCTTTAAGAATGTTGAATATTGGCCCCCACTCTATTCTGGCTTGTAGAGTTTCTGCAGAGAGATCCGCTGTTAGTCTGTTGGGATTCCCTTTGTGGGCAACCTGACCTTTCTCTCTGGCTGCCCTTAACATTTTTTCCTTCATTTCAACCTTGGTGAATCTGACAATTACGTGTCTCGGGGTTGGTCTTCTCAAGGAGTATCTTTGTGGCGTTCTCTGTATTTCCTGAATTTGAATGTTGGCCTGCCTTGCTAGACTGGGGAAGTTCTCCTGGATAATATCCTGCAGAGTGTTTTCCAAGTTGGTTCCATTCTCCCCATCACTTTCAGGTACACCAATCAAACGTAGATTTAGTCTTTTCACATAATCCCATATGAGTTTCCCGTATTTCTTGGAGGCTTTGTTCATTTCTTTTTACTCTTTTTTCTCTAAACTTCTCTTCTCACTTCATGTCATTAATTTGATCTTCCATCACTGATACCCTTTCTTCCACTTGATGGAATCGGCTACTGAAACTTGTGCATGCGTCACGTAGTTCTTGGGCCATGGTTTGCAGCTCCACCAGGTCATTTAAGGTCTTCTCTACACTGGTTATTCTAGTTAGCCATTCATCTAATCTTTTTTCAAGGTTTTTAACTTCTTCGTGATGGGTTCAAACGTCCACCTTTAGCTCAGAGAAATTTGTTATTACCAATCTTCTGAAGCCTACTTCTATCAACTCGTCGAATTCGTTCTCCATCCAGCTTTGTTCCGTTGTTGGCGAGAAGCTGCGATTCTTTGGAGGAGAAGAGGTGCTCTGATTTTAAGAAATTTCAGCTTTTCTGCTCTTGTTTCTCCCCATCTTTGTGGTTTTATCTATGTTTGGTCTTTGATGATGGGGACCTACAGATAGGGTTTTTGTGTGGATGTCCTTTTTGTTGGTGTTGATGCTATTCCTTTCTGTTTGCTAGTTTTCCTTCTAACAGTCAGGACCCTCAGCTGCACGTCTGTTGGAGTTTGCTGGAGGTCCACTGCAGACCCTGTTTGCCTGGGTATCACCAGAGGAGGCTGCAGAACAGCAAATATTGCCGAACAGCCAAAGTTGCTACCTGATCCTTCCTCTGGAAGCTTCGTCTCAGAGGGGCAGCTGGCTGTATGAGGTGTCAGTCAGCCCCTACTGGGAGGTGTCTCCCAGTTAGGCTACTTGGGGGTCAGGGACCCACTTGAGGAGGCAGTCTTTCAGTTCTCAGATCTCAAACTCTGTGCTGGGAGAACCACTGTCAGGCAGGGACGTTTAAGTCTGCAGAAGTTTCTGCTCACTTTTGTTCAGCTATGCCCTGCCCCCAGAGGTGGAGTCTACAGAGGCATGCAGGCCTCCTTCAGCTGTGGTGGGCTTCACCCAGTTCGAGCTTCCCAGCTGCTTTGTTTACCTAGTCAAGCCTCAGCAATGGCAGACACCCCTCCCCCAGCCTGGCTGCTACCTCGCAATTTCATCTCGGACTGCTGTGCTAGCAGTGAGCAAGGCTCCGTGGGCGTAGGACCCACCGAGACAGGCATAGGATATAATCTCCTGGAGTACCGTTTGCTAAGACCTTTGGAAAAGCACAGTATTAGAGCACGAGTGTCCTGAGTTTCCAGGTACCCTGTCTCATGGCTTCCCTTGGGTAGGAAAGGGAATTCCCTGACCCCTTGCACTTCTCGGGTGAGGTGATGCCCCGCCCTGCTTCAGCTCACACTCTGTGGGCTGCGCCCACTGTCCAACAAGTCCCAGTGAGATGAACCCAATACCTCAGTTGGAAATGCAGAAATCACCTGTCTTCTGCATCGCTCATGCTGGGAGCTGTAGACTGGAGCCATTCCTATTCGGCCATCTTGAAACGATCTCAAAATGCTACTTTCATATACGTATTTTATCTGCAACTGAACTTCTTCATTCGTATATTATTTTTCAGTCCAGAAGGGATTACTGTAGGGCTAAAATTTCAGAAATGACAGCGCTAGTTTATGCTGCAGTATCTAGTACAATAGAACATTTCTGAAACTGGTTTCTTTTTCTCTCCTTGCCTGACCTTGTAAGACACTGAACTACAAAATGTGGCTTGCCTCTTAATATTATATTCTCTAAAGCTGGAGATTTTTCAATTGTAACTAAGATAAATCACACCACTAAAAAATATAAACATAAAGTTTGTGGTCAGTGATGGTTCCACTCCTTGAGATTGTAATTCAAGAACAAGAGCAGCAGAGTTGCTGAGGCTAGTTAGTGGGTAGGGAATCTGTAAGACATACACAGCAGGTGCTCGATAAGTAGTTTTTCAAGTAGAACAACTCCAACAGGAGTTGTCTTGGCAATGGTTGGATATGGGAGTCTATAGCTGAGAAAGAGGAGGCCGGACACAGTGGCTTACACCTGTAATCCCAGCATTTTGGGAGGCTGAGGTGGGTGGATCATTTGAGGTCAGGAGTTCGAGACCAGCCTGGCCAACATAAGGAAACCCTGTCTCTACTAAAAATAGAGGAAGGGATGGGCTAGAGATTGACATCACCAGATGTTGATGAAATTACTCAAGTCAAGTTTACAGAGTGAGAAGGGGACTGGAGATGTTTTCCTGGGCAACACCTCTATTAAAGGGATGGGTTTACAAAGGAGAGTGAAGAAAATCTGGAGGTGTTGAAGGAAAATCACAAGGGGCTAGTCTCCTCAAAACAAAGGAGGGGAGCACTTGGAGAGACAGGAAGGGTTCACAGTGCCAGGTGCCACAGTGGGGTCGAGCAGTGTGGAAACCCAGGGAGAAATCCTGAGGAAGGCTGTGTCCTCACAGACAGCATCCGTGGCCTTGGGGAAGAGACTCTGAGTTCCATGCTTTATGTTCTTGTTAAGTTTTACCAGTTTCATAAGTAGGTTGCTGTCTTTTCTAATTCTAAAAATAGTGCACATTTATTGTAGAAATTTTAGAAAATACAAAAAAGCTCAAAAAGAAAATTAAAATGGCCATTGTTTGCTTCTATGGTGAGAGCTGCTTTATGACTTTTGGCTTGCTCCCCTCAGACTTGGCTTGCCTGGTTTGTTAACCTTCCATCCTAGTTTGGACTTCACCATTCCCATCTCATCACCAATTCTTCACCGTGATTGCACTCAACAATGTAGCCCAGATATGGTAAAAACTTTCAAATAAAGTGATTTGATGAGCTATAAAATGGTGCATTCTGAGTAAATGAGTGATCTGTGGTGTGTGACAATGGCACCAAGAGGGACACACATGGAAAATTACATCAGCAACAGAGGACCTCATAGGCACACATATTTGAAAATCTACAGCCTCGTCATTGGTCCAGGTTTTTCCTTGTTAAGCATAATCTAAAACATGGGTTTGTTTAAGTGACTTACTTCTTTCCTGTCAGTGGTGGGATAAGGGGAGGGAGAGCTGTGCTATAGCTAAGAGGACATTCTAGCCACATCTCCACTCATTAACTCATATATTGAAAAACCAAATGTATGGGAGCTTGGTCTGCCCACTGTTTTGTCGTTCTTATTGTAAGAGGGGAGCAGAGTGTATTTGTTTGCTAGAACTGCTATGAGAAATTACCGCAAACTTAGCGGATTAAGACAGCACAAACATATTGTCTCACAGTTCCATAGGTCAGAAGTCCAGGTTGGTTCAATTGGGTTCTTAGATCAGAGTCTCACAAGGTGAAAATCAACCTACTGACTGGTAAGATTCTCATCAGAAAGCTCTAGGTTCAGGTTGTTGACAGAATGCAGTTTCTTCCCATCAGAAGACCAAGGTCTCTGTTTCCTTGGGGCTGAAAGTTGAGGTCATGCTTGGCTCCAAGAGGTTTTTCTCTCTCTGGCTCTTGCAAGTGATCCCCTACATCTCAGAGCCAAGAACAGTGTGTTGGATCCTTCTCACACTTGGGATCTTCCCAACTTTCCCTTTCTTTCATGTCTCTTCAGCTACATCTCTCTGACTATAGCCTAATAAATTTTTCTGCTTTTAAGAGCTCCAGTGATTAGGTTGGACCTGCCCACATAATGTAACATGATCTGCCTATTTTAAGATCCATAACTGTATTAGTCTGTTCTCACGCTGCTGATAAAGATATAACCAAGACCAGCTAATGTTTAAAGGAAAGAGGTTTAATTGACTCACAGCTCCACATGGCTGGGAAGGCCTCACAATCATGGTGGAAGGCAAATGAAGAGCAAAGTTACGTCTTACACGGTGGCAGGCAAGAGAGAGCTTGTGTACCGGAACTTCCCTTTATGAATCCCTCAGAGCTCGTGAGACTTGCTCACTATCACAAGAACAGCACAGGAAAGACCAGCTCCTCATGATTTAATTACCTCCCACAGGGTCCCTTCCATGACATGTGGGAATTATGGGAGCTAAAATTCAAGATGAGATTTGGGTGGGGATACACCCAAACTATATCAATAACGTTAATTACACCTGCAAAACTCCTTTTGGCATGCAAGGCAACATATTCATATGCTCCAAGGATGAGGCATTCTTCAGCTTACCACACAGGGTGATGACAGGGATAGGGGATTTATGATATGACCCCTCTCTTTCCATCTTTTTTTCTTCCCTGTATCTCACACAGGCCCAGTGTTGACTCTTCTCAATATTACTCTTGTTTACCCTTGGCAACTTTCTAATCTATTTAAGGAGCAGGAATGTTCATCTTCCACTTTGAAACAGTTCTGTAATGTCCCTTTGTGTCCTGATCCACTGATTGGAAAGTGATGGTACAAGATATCTGCTTGTTTCATATCTTTTTGTAGCAAGAGAAACATTTGTTTGGGAAGCCCTCTTATTTTGTGTGTACCATGATCATGACTAACACAGTTGTCTTTTAAACATGTCTCTTTCCTCACAGTTCTTACATGTCATGGGTCACAGTGATATTTTTACCTCTAAGTGTTGATTTTTTTTGGTGTTTGATTTTTTTTGGTGACCCATCCTAACTATGGCTGCTGCTTTTTTACTCCACAGGCCTTTTTTAATGTTTTTTCATGATTTGTAGATAAACCCTTGCCCACCATTTTCATTTTTAAAAAGGAAAAATGCTGAAGTGAAAATCCTAATTGGAAAATGCTTGTATGAAGGGGTGAGTCATCGTCACTCAGATACTGGGCATGTTGCACAGATTCCCCATTAAACGGCACCATGGCTCATTAAACCTCACTGGTGAGAAAATTGAATCTTTGTTAAATGTTTATGTTCTTTGCTAATGTTAAATTTAGAATATCTCTGATGTAGGTACCCTTGGGGAAGATTTTAAGGCACTAGGTAAAGTGCCAGCAGATTTCAGTCCATAAGTTCCCAGATACAAGACCTGGAAAACATTCCCCACCTGGATTGATTTTCCAGTTTCTCCCTTTCCAGTCTTAATATATCCTACTTTTCTTAATCCAAACTGCATGACCTTCTGGTTACCTTTTTCTACTCTCAGTGACTGCTAGGGATTGTATTTCTGGTTTTTAATCAAAAAAAGGCAATTGATTATTCTCAAACACCACTCAGCCATGTTTGAAGTCAAAGGGATGGAGGTGGGATTGTCAGTGTTTTTATCATGCACCCATAATAAATCTCTGCCCACAAAGCCTTACATTTCAAAAAAAAGGGCTTAAACAAATATAAATATCAGCAACAGAAATATGACTCTAGAAATGTGACAGTGGAGTTAATGTAAAAAGAATAATTTTCCTCATTTAAAAGTTATTAGAAATCCCCTACATGTATACCAAAAGAATCAGCTGGTTATTGCATGGCAAAAGATACTAAGATCTCAGGAGCCCTTCTCAACAAGAGAATTAAGCTCTACCGAAGATGACTGGAGGGAATATTTTCTCATTTCTCTCAAGGATGTGCTTAGCTAGTATGATTCTCAACAGAGAGGAAATAAGTTAATTCATTACATATAACAAATGCCTTAGGGCAGTGGTTCTCAAGATTTTTGGTATCAAAACCTTTTGCAATTAGGAAAGACTCCAAAGAGTTTTTGCTTATGTGAGGTGTATCTATCAATATTTACATATTAGAGGCCAGGCACAGTGGCTCATGCTGTAATCCCAGCACTTTGGGAGGCCAAGGCGGGCAGATCCCTTGAGGTCAGGAGTTCAAGACCAGTCTGGCCAAGATGGTGAAACTCCATCTCTACTAAAAATTCAAAAATTATCCAGGCATGGTGGCAGGCACCTGTAGTCCCAGCTATTCAGGAGGCTTAGGCAGGAGAATCACTTGAGCCCGGGAGGCAGAGGTTGCAGTGAGCTGAGATTGCGCCACTGCACTCCAGCCTGGGCAACAGAGCGAGACTCAGTCTCAAAAAATAAAATGAATAAATAAAAAAATTTACCATATTAGAAATTAAAACAAATTCTAAAACATGTTTTTATTAATTTATTTAAAATAACAATCATAAAACATTTACATGTTAATATAAATAACATATTTTTACCAAAAGTTTATTTTCCAAAACAAAAAAATTAGAAAAGTGGCATTGTTTCACATTTCTGCAAAGCTCTTTAACATGTAGTGCAAATGAAGACAGCTGGATTCTCATATCTTGCTTCTGCATTCAATCTGTTGCATCATGTAGCCTCTGGAAAATTCCACTGTACACTAATGAAAGAATTAGAATAAAAAATGCAAGTAACATATTTCATGTTATTGTGAAAATAGTTTTGACCTTGAGGATCTTCCTGGATAGTTCCCAGGAACCTCCAGGGGTCCCTGGGCCACACTTTGAAGACATTGCTCTGGGGCATAAGAGCTTGTTTTCCCCAAGGAACCCTGTTTGAGGAAGGCTACAAGTGTGTGCATGCATATCATATATTCTCCACTATTACCTCAGTACCAAAATGATATAGCATATTGATGGTTAAAATAAAATTGCAAAGTTTTAGGGCTAAATTCCTCATGATGTTTTGTGTAACTTAAAATTTAGAATGACCTAAACAAATTGAATGACTAGTCATTAGCTTTGTAGATCTGGCATTGTTTCTCTCATGTAACTCAGAAGGGTTAGTCTTTTCACTTGTATTCTAGGATTATGACTGGCAGAGCTTGACTGGCAAAATCAATCCATGCATCAATTTTGCTGCTAAGTCTTCACTGAGAATTTAATAATTCTCAAAATAATTCCCATATTTCAGCCTGCACCCAGATACCACAACTTTTTTGAAAGCCTCTCCTTCAGATCTCACCGTATACAATTTTTCAGGAAAGTGGGAAAAGTTACAGGAGAATTTCCTCCTCCATCCTCCTTCTTAGAAAAAGAAAATACATTTTCACAATAATCATTTTTTGGAAATGGAAAAATGCTACCTCGTTTATGAGAATACCAAGGTTCTACACCTGTCAGGCCTGACACCGATTCAGCTGCAAAATCTTCAGATGTTTTTGATTCTCTGTGTGTCATGGACAAGTGTCATACATAGTGATTTGCACAGAAAACCATAGAGAGCACTCTCCAAGGGAGAGCCAGCATTTTGACAAGGCTGAATGACAACGTAGGAGGACAGGGGTAGGAACTATTGTATGTTGTTGTCCTTCGACCTAGGCAGATCTTGTGCTAGGTTGCTGAGAGCTGCCACATTAAAATATCATTTGAAATTTAAATTCCTTGTAAAACACTTAGAAAATAGGGGTCATAGAGCTGCTAATGGAGATTCTAGGGAAGGGGCTGTCACTAAATCACCCTAAAGACTTGGAAGTTCTGAAAGGGCATCAAGAAAGTGGTCAGCTGAAAAGACAGCAGTTTAAAAAAAATTGTCAAACATCTAAGAGTAAACACATTGAGATACTCATGGAGTCATGTAGTCATGATCTGTATTTTTATCACTAGGTGTGGTTATCATCTTTGAGATGAAAAAGGATTAGTTTTGATGCTATAATAGAGTTGTAGGGGAAAAGACCCTTGGTATGATGAAAAAATCAAAATATTATATCATTTTAGTGTTACAGTTTTTCTCTTACAGACTGAGAATTATCCTATGTTTGACCCTAACAGTTTTTCATGAAACTTGCATTACCTGCCTCCAAGATATTCTGCACATTTTCAACCTTCCTGTAGCCTCTAACTCATGTGTTTCTCTCCTGACTCTCAGCAGATGATCTTACTTTCCTGAAAAGACACATTCCCCTTCTGCCCTTCAGTTTTCTTCTGCCTTCTCCAGACCTTGCTCCAGCAGTTTTCTCATCCTTTCTCTCTGTCTTCAGCCTCTCTTTCCTCTGGCTTATTCTTGTCAACCTATAAATTAGATGTCTAAGAGAAAGCCTCACTTAGACCTCATAAGTTATGGCTTTTTCTCTCTTCATCCTTTATCAAAAGCTTCTCAGAGTGCAGTCCACACCACTGGCTCCTCACTCATTCCGCTCAAAGACCCTTACCATTTGATGGCTGAAATTATTTTCTCAGAGATCTGCAAGGATTCAGTGGCATTTCTCAGTTATCACATTCCTCTATTATGCTTACCTAGAGGTAGGGGTGTGTTTGTGTGTGTGTGTGTGTGTGTGTGTGTGTGTACATGTGCATGTTCATCTCCTTGAGCATAAGATCATATGTGCTTGTATCTTTTATTATCAATTTGAAAGACAAAGTGAATTTTTCTCTAGCTACAACATCATGTAAGAAGAGGGTATGTAGAGGAGAAGGAACTCCAAGCCACAAGTGAAGCATGAAAATCTGCCACTAAAAGATGAGTGGAACTAAAGTAAGTTAAAGACAAAATGACCAAATTGTCTGATAAAATCAAAGGTTTAAGAAATCGGATTGCATCTTTTCCCCTTCCTATCCACACGATGTCCAGAGTGTTTTCCTCTTGTGGTCCCAAGAACTCTCATTTACATGGGCATTGACTTTTAGTCCTGCCTTGGACCTAGGTTATCTTTACCAGCCTTGCAAGGTGTGGGCAGAGCTGGTATGTGCATGTCCACAGCTGTCCCAAAGATTCTCTCCTGCGGAGGTGCTGCAGAGAGTCTTGGACATTGCGTGTAAGATTGAGCCCTGCCAGGGAGCTAATTAAATGAGTTTTTTAAAAGCTCCAAGCTCAGCAGCAGAGTGGGTGGCTAATTTCCTGACTCACCTATTTGACTCATTTGTGTTCCCAGCAAAATACTCCCTCTTGTAGGACACACTGTCTAGCTTTATTTCAAAACTATTCCATTTCTTCACAGGGTAGACAAGAATGTGCAAAGTAACAGTTTTCTCTTTTGTGTGGGACATCGTTTATGAAACAGAGTTCAGTTCTTTGTTCAAAAGGAATTGTGGGAATGTCAGAGCAGTTATGAACAAAACTGGATATTCAATTAAAAGCCTTTCCTCTTAAAAGCTCAAAGCTTTCGTTAGACAGGTGTAGAGTCTTCCCCATAGGGCAGAGGGGCTCCATAAGTGGGGAGGTGGGGTAAGGGCCTTACCTTCCTTTTCCTGGGCCTAGGAAACCTCCATGGAAGTGGAGATGGGCTGCAAGTCATCTTCAGAGCTTGATGATACAAATGAACAGCTACAGAGTCTAAAGTTAACAATAGAGAGGCCATGATAGAATGTTCTAGTTAAAAAAAAATGTTACTTTTATTCCACAAGATCCTAGCCAAAGGAAAATGTTGCTAACCAAACCCCATTGTAACTTTTTTGTTTTGGGTAGATGCAGTGTCTTAACTCTATCCAAAAAGGAGAAAGAGATTACTTAGCAGAAGTGTTTGCTTGTTCCCTCCCACCAACTGCAACGTCTAAAAGTTGTGGCAAATGTTAACAGCTGCATGCTAGTAAAAAGCAGATCTCTGCCATTTTACCTATCATGATTAATAGGACCTATTCAGCTAGAATAATAAAATTGATTCTATGCCTGATAAAATGGGATCTGGCCAATTGTCATGTCAATTCATATGGCATTTTCTTTCTTTTTTTGGATTTTGCAGTAACTTCTTTAAAAACACTTTTTAATTGACAAGAACTGTATATATTATGTACACAGCATAATTTTTTGAAATATGCATATCTTGCAGAATAGCTAAATCAGGCTTATTAATATATGTATTACCTCGCATGCTTTTGTCATTGTGCTTAGAACACTTAAAATCTGCTCTCTCAGCAATTTTCAAGTGTACAATACATTGCTACTAAATATAGTCACATGTTGTACAATAGATCAAAATCCAGAGTCATTCCTTGCTGCCTCTCAAGCACCAACACCCACCAATTTTCCATCTCAAATATCTCTGGGGTGCTGTCACCTCTGCTATATCTTCCTTGATGTTCTCTCTTATTCGTTCACTCATTAAAGGCTTACTATGTCGCATCACTGTGCTAAGGGCTTGTGGCACACAGAGAAGATGAAAACCAGTGAGGTATATTTGTGAAGTACAAAGCACAGTGGTCATTGGTCTATTAGAACCCAGGACAGTGAACATGTAAGAGTTTGGGAGCATGAATCCGGGCCTCTTCCTGTCCTGGTACAACTCATCTCTTCCTGAAATTATTGGGAAAGCCTCCAGCCATGTGTCCATTCTGCCCTCTGCTCTTCTGCCTGAGCTTTATTTCCAAAGTTCAGATTGTGTCATCTCTCTTATTAAAACCCTTCATGACTCTCTATTATGAAAGAACAAGCTCCAAACTTCTTAATCCTACTTATAAAACCTTCACATTCAACTTGTCTGTCTTGCTTTTATTTCCTCGTAGCACTGTTTTGTACAACACAGTTACTAACCTCACCACCCATGAAATAGGAAAGGAAAAACAGAATTAAAAATACCCATTCTGCCTTAGACATTTGCCATCAATATCATTTTCAACCTCCCTCTTTCCCCCTTGGCAATTAATTCAATGGATCATTTTCCTAATGATTGCTGTTCACACTCTGCTTAACTGTTTTAAATATCAAGATATTGAATAGTTTTGATGAACACAGATAATCAGTGTGTGAGTATTGACTGCCCTAATGTACTCACAGAGGCTCAATACAAGAACATGGCATATAGTAGCAGGCCATGCAGCAGGCAACCAGAAACAAATCCTCATGTCCTGTTCTTAAGATCATTGAGTCCATCTTCACGGGTGAGTGTGATCTCAGGACAGAATGAGACTCAGGTGGAACCGTGTCTCCCTTCACAGGAGTAGGCCATTGCAACAACATTTATTCATTTATTCATTCACTCATTCATTTAGTCATTCATGCATCAAGCAGTTACTGAGTATGGTCTAACACCATGTGTCCAAAGATGAACCCCATTTCCAGGGAGCTCCCAGTCCTTTCTGTGGTAAGTTCAGTGATTTGATCCAAATGCTGGGATCCAGAAAGGAGTGAGCCAGGCCTCTGCTGAGGCAGTTGAAGGGTTGGGAGGGGGACAGTTGAAAGGTTCTTAAAGAATGAAAAAAATGAGTCCTTGGTAGCAAGAAGTGTGTGTGTGTGTGTGTGTGTGTGTGTGTGTGTATTTAAGGAATACAAGGATGGTAGCAAGTGGACGAGGAAGGAATTGCTGCCATAGTAGAAGGAATCAAAATGCAAAGGTAGTTAAGAAACTACACAGTGTGTTTGGGAAATTATGGCAAGTTCAGTGTGACTTGAGAAAGGCAGCAAAGGGGGCAGAGGGAGATGAGGCTAGAAGGTAAGCAAGGTGCAGATTGTAGGGTACTTGTACTTTGGAGCTCAAATTTTATCTTTAAGCAGTAGGGAGCCAAGAGAAGCCTCTTAAGCATCAGATATTTTTTGAATAAAGGTCTGGTGTTAGTATAGTCATTGGATTTGAGAAGATGAGCATTTCATTAATGTTTTTGAGTGGTGACCATAGCCAAGGAAAACTCCATGCCTGCATCCAAGCTAACCTGCATGTTTGTGTGTGTCTTCCTAGTGACAGTGCTGGCCATTTTCCATGAACTGCACGTCGACCCTGACCTGTACACACTCTTGTTTGGAGAGAGTGTGTTGAATGATGCAGTGGCCATAGTCCTTACATAGTAAGTACCAGAACTTGGCCTATGTTTCTTTAATCATGTGAAATATGCTTTCACTTGTATCTTTTCTCTTATGTCACAGAGATACGGGCAGTCTCTAGCTTTTTTCAAGGAATTGTTATCACAGAAAATTTCCATAATGGGCACAATTCATTAGGCATCTAATTTCTAATACTATTAATGGGTTTTATGTTTCCAGCTTATTACAAGATACTACCTAGAGGGTAACTTATTTTTCTCAGTGCATATATTTAGCTGATTCACTTAGGTTCCTAAAATGCACATAAATGAGCTTTTTTCATTTCAAATCAATATCATTTAATTTTTCGCCTTATATAAGTCACTTTCCAGATAATAGTCTAATAGAAACCCTTGTATTTATGGGCAGATTGGCAGATTGGAGCCAGAACCTAAGGGTCAGAATACTCTTTATTTCTCAATGCAAAGGTAATGCTGTATAGGAATGCATACATCTTTAAAACATCACATGACGGATGAAACTGATGGAGCTTCAGCTCAGCACCAGTGCAATTTCCCTTTGCGCTGGAAGGATATTAGGGTGGGGGGATGAGAGCCAGTGCTCTTTCCTTACCTCCCCTTTAGACACTTACCATTTATATTTAATAAATGCCACTTCAGTGGCTTTCACTATGTCAGAGGTCTCTTCTTGGTTTTAGATTAAGACCAACATTTTGGGCAACTGTCAGATATCCCAAAGGAAAGTCAATATCTGATAATTCAATGTGACAAAAAGATTCTATTCTGGGTGTTAATTACTTCAAATGCAGTTTAAAATGTATTGTGAAGTAACAAAAGATTGTTAAAGTCAGATCTCACAGAGGGGAGTAAGAAATGACAGAGCAGCACTACTCTTTTTTTTCTTTCTTTTTGCCAGTTGACATTTCTTAAGGCTGCTGCCCCAAAGTTGACAGTGAATTCAACAATTTTCAAGTGTGTCTCCAAATATACTTATATTTCACCTGGCCACAGAGAAGTGTCTTTCCTGCTTTAAAGGAAAATATCAGTGAGTGCAAATTAAGAGCAAAAGCCATGGGCAGATTCACAAATGCTAAAGGATGCTTTTAAAGAAACACCAAGAACAATTAATTAGGACATCAGGAATCCCTGTCCAAGAAATACTAGCATTAAAAGAACATTTGGAGTAAAACTCTTTAAAAATCTGCTGAGTTCCTCATTTTTACTTCCTGAGCTGCCAAGTTGGAAAAGGCCAAGCAAAGCAAAACCACTAAAGTGCAAATGAGCTTGGGAAAGAATCATGCCGACACAACCAGGAAAGGTTTGGCCTTTCTGCTTTCAGGACCACCATTCACAGTAGTTTTCCATTAAAAATGCAGACTCTAAGAATAAATGTTGATGCTGTTGAGCACCAACCTGGGAGCATTTGAAATAGTCCATGTAGTATCTCCTCATGTCAATATATGGTTGGTATTGCAGATGCCTCTCCTACCTCTCTACCCATGTCTTCATAATGTCTTAATAAAAGAAGATGTGTTTCACACCATGGCAAGAGCTCTTCCTTTCTAGGAATGAGATGTTGCCATTCTAGCTGAAATCTTGTGCTCCTCAGCTTCGGCAATTCTGGTATCGTACAGTGATCCCAGTGAGCTCCAATGTAAAATAAAGGGTAATCGTAAGTAAAAACATTTGACTTCCAAAGCTTACATATTCAAATACCAGCTCTTTCCTTCCATGAGCTCTGCTGAGTGGTCCATAGCTCTGCCATGTCCTGGTCCAGGCTGTCTACCAGTGCTGTCTGCTGCTCACCATTTCCTCCTTTTTGCACATTTCCATGTGCCATTCTCTTCACTTATTCTCACTTGCTTATTTGCTTCTTAAACTTAATTTATAGCACACATACTATTCTCTTTGTACATCTATTTACACACACGTATTTCCTCTCCTTGCAATGCCTTATCTCCACACACTCTCTGCCAACCATTTCCTGGTTCCCTTAGGAAAGCCATATTTGCATATCATTTAAAGGTTTTCTATGGCTTTCAGTCTAAAAGTTCAAACATTGCATCTCCATTTTTCTTTCTCTTCACACTAAACCATGTATAGCACCCTGACACAACTCTCTGAGTGGTATCTCGATGCCTTTGAACAAAGCTCACTCCTCCTGGGTTGCCCTCTTCAGCTTCTGTTTCTGCCTAATCAAGTCTTTCAACTCTTCCTTCAGTCTCCTTCTTTGGGAACCACCAGCCCATGGGCTGAGCTTCTGCTTCACCCCTGCACAGCATTGGATTTACATATATATTTGCCTTTCTAGATAGCAACTTTTTGAAAGCAGACTCTATGTACTTGAAGTGTGTCTTAGAAGAACAAATGAAAATCTCTTTTGTGTTGTCCCTCTCTTAGTTCCATCTTTGCGTGGTTTTGAAGTTTAAGAACAGTGATAGAGTTATTCTTGTGTTATGGAAAAAAAAGTTTTCCATTTTGATGTGCAACCCAATTATTAATGACTATAGCCCTTGGCCAAGCCCCCAGAGCCCCTCTGAAATAGCCACATACTTTTATTTACCTTCCCATCTTCTGCCAGCAAACCTCCTTGCTTAAGAACCAACTTTTTCAGTTTTAGTATTTTTACACTTTTAATAGTATTGTAGAAATACTGTGCTCTAGTATTTAGCCACATTTTAGATTAAAGCAGCTTTTCTTTGCTAATATAAGAAGCCTATTATTAATTATAATACTGTTGCTTAGGTTAAATGTGCTCTGAATTTCAGATACCTAACATAATTAAATTTGATGGCCACAACTCTTGTACGTAGCAGCAGGTGGTGGGTGCTATATCACGCTCTTGTGATTTACAATGTTCCAGAATTGTTTGTGCTAAAATGCAAATAACTTTATTTAACATAAAAGTTTTGAAGTTAGCTTGTCCCTAACCCATACTCTTATTTCAAGCATAAAGGGAATGTCATGCTCAAACATGTATGCATACTGCCTCACAAATGAATTCCACATGATAGATTTGCATTTCTAAATGTTATTTAATAGGCTATTGAAGGAAGGCAAAAGATATATGGAAGAGATCTCAAGGAGTGTGTGTTTTTGAACCCTGAACAAAAATCTTAATTTCAGAGGCAGCATGGTAGAGTAGAAAGAAGTCTAGGTTAAGAGTCAGAAGATCTGGTGTCAAGATTGCCATTAATTAACTGTGCAATTACTACAGTTGACAGGAAACCAACCTAAACTGAGGTCAACAAAAAGAGAATCTGTATTAGCTGATGTAACTGAACACCGGTAATAGAAATGGCTTAGTCAAGGATCCAGTGAAATGAACAGGAATCTTTCTTCGCTCAACTTCATGGTTAGCGCCCTCTTCTGGTTGCAAGATGGCTGCCAGCATTTCCCAGGGCTGTCTCTTCGGGAGATTTGACGAAGAATTTTTGTTCCACCATTCCCAGACTAAATTTTAGTAACTTTCATAGATTCTGATGCAGTTTATCTTGGAATAATCACTATGGTCAGTAAAAGGTACAGCATGTATTGGTTCGGGTCTAAGTCACCTGCTCCGTGAGTTCAAGGGTATATAATCAGCTTCATTGGAAGCACATGAGCTGAGACTGGAGAAAGGTAGAATTATTGCTCAGGTAATACTGCCATGATAATGGAAAAGTGGATGCTGGATAGAAACACAACAAAACAAAACCTAGATCGGGGTCCTCAACCCCCAGGCTGTGGACCGGCACTGGTCTGTGGCCTGTTAGGAACTGGGCCACACAGCAGGAGGTGAGCAATGGGCCAGTGAGCAGTACTGCCTGAGCTCCGCCTCTGTGAGATCAGCGGCGGCATTAGATTCTCCTAGCAGCGCAAACCCTATTGTGAACTGCGCATGTGAGGGATCTAGGTTGCGCACTCCCTATGAGCGTCTAATGCCTGAGGAATGCCTTTCATCCCGAAGCCATCCCCTCCCCCAATCCGTGGAAAAATCGCCTTCCACGAAACAGTTCCCTGGTGCCGAAAAGTCTGGGGACTGCTGACCTAGATGACCACTACAGTGATTTTGTATGGCCATAAACTCCCTATGCTAATTTCTTGATCTAGAAAATGTGAGAATAGTTGTTCTATATACATTACAAAACTATTCTGAGTAATAAATAAAGTAATATGGTTGTAAAGGCCCTGTAATCTACAGAGCCTATGCTATATAAATATAAATATAATTTCTACCCTTATTTATATCAATATCTTTCATTCTACTTACAGAGATCTCTCTGGTTTTATTAAAATTACTAAAGATAAGTCTGCTTCTAGTGAACATTTCTTCATAAATATGGCATTTTATGATCCAGGAAACTTAGAGAATAACCATTTTTACACGTGATTTCCTCTATTAGGAATGAATCACTTAGTTAAGACATACTGTCTAAAGTTGATAAATCAAAAAATAGAGGTTGAAGTATTAATATGTTACTTAAAGTTATAAAGGTGCTCACAACCAAAACTGATATTACTTGTGGAAGTTAAGCAGAAAAAAGAAGAAAAAAAGGAAGGAAGAAGCTAACTAAAATTCTGCATCTGGCATACTAGGAAACGAACAGATGCTATGTGGAGTTGCTAAGTCAAGAAATGAAAATATATGCGTATTCTTAGGAGTCATAGAATAACAATCAGAAAAAATAAAGACATAAATGGTTAAAATCAGATACCTTTGCTGTGTAGGATCACGATATAGGCAAAGGATGAAAAATAATTTAACTCTTTATTTTATACTCTTCTATGCAGTCTGAATGTTTTTAATGTGTTTGAATTATATTTACTTATGTATTCTTCTTCAGGTGATCAAGATATCAAAAGCAGAAACTATAAAATAAAAGCCCATTTGTTTGATGGCAATAGAGTCAAGCAATCCTAGCAGGCAAAAACCCACTACAAAAAAATTAAATGACGAATGATAAACCAAGGGAAGCATTTTCAACACATGTGTTGATCAGTTAATAGTCTTTGTAATATACATGATAAATTGTTAATCTCATCACTATACCTAATTCATTATTTACGTTACCTTGGGCAAGTTACTCAATCCCCCTGCGCCTTGGCAGACTCATTTGTAAAATAGACAGTAATAGCACTTACCTCACAGGATGGGATTAAACATAAAACACCTAAATCAGGGCCTGGTGGGTCATGCTCAATACACATTAAATGTTAGCTGTTGCTGTTACTCCTATCATCAAAGACCAATAATAAAAGGTAAGCATAATAGAAAAATGGACAAATGATATAAATAGTTAATAAACAAAAGAAGAAACATAAATGGACAACAGCTATACTAAATAAGATCAGCTTTACTAATAATGAAGTAAAACAAATTAAACCAACAATGGAGTATTATTTTTACCTGGCAAATATTTAAATCTTCAGGACTCAAAAAAGAATAATCATACTTGGAGTAAGTCAGGGTTTGGGAATTGAGAACCCTCCTATATGATTGGTGAAAAAGGAAAGTGATAAAACTTTTACAAAGGCAGTGTTTACTGAGCCATTAGATTTTGTGAATCATTTGATCCAGCAATTTTGTTTCTAGAAATTTATTCTAAGAAGTAATTATGGGCATGTGCAATAGTCTCTCCATGGAGATGAATGCATTGATTTGAGCAAGAAGTTGTGCACAATGGTTACTAGTTGGTTGAGTGAATTATAGCATATTAATATCATGGAACCCTATGAAGTCATTTAAAAAATAATAAAGAAAAAATATATTGATGGGAAAAGATATTCACAATACATTTTTAAGTAAACAGGAAATTTAATATATAATATTTATATTTAATAACTATCAAATAAGAAAATTTAATATATAATAAGATCTAGCTTGGTTAAAAATTCACAGCCAAATTTATATGTGCAAATGCACCTAAAATTATATATTATATATACTAACATACATTATATGTATTATATATGAATATAATTATATATTATTAAATTTTATATATTTTATTATACCTGTATATATAAATAACATATAACATTTGTATTATTTATATATAAATTACATGGAGTCAGAAGTGTTATGTGGAATCACAAGTGATTTTTATTTTTTTCTTTTGGCTTGCATATATTTACCAAAATAGAGCAAACTACTTATGATAGACTCTGGTCCCAAAAATCCCCATTAACATACTTAATAATTGGCAATGTTCATTTAAGTGCAGATTGCACAGAGGTAGAAGTCTGAAATTCTTTTGCTACCCATGATAGAAGAGAAAGAAGATGTTGGCTGTTTTGGGCCATTTATCTGCAAAACAGAAATACTGCTATTGTTGTACTGAAACCTACTCATAAAATAATTCCACAGTGTGCAAATGCCTCCAGGTTTTCTTAGAGATAAAATAAGTATCTCATTAAACAGCTGACTCTTGGATGACAATAAATACATACTAGATGTCTTTATTCCCTGTTAAGTAAATGCTTATAAGGAAATTCGATGTCATCAATTATTTAAAAAGATGAAGAAATGGAGCACCAATTTTGTCTTTTTAAATGAGACTGTTATGCTGCAGAGAAGTTCTTGCTAGATAATGTCATTTAAAGTGTGATACCAGTGAACGCTTGGCACTTTGAGTGGCATTTTGAAAGACTACATTTCTTACCGCCCATGTATCTTGAGGGAAATTTAATATGGAAGGTAATTGGATGGCTATAAGACTCAAGCAACCGTGGAACTGAGGGGAACCTTGAACTATCATCCAACCGTTCAAGAGAAATGTACTGAGGATCAGTATGTGCCAGACATTATGCCAAGTGTTGGTGACAAAGACTGGATGGGCATAGCCACTCATCTCGGCCCTCAATAACTCCTCACTGAAGTAGGCAAACAATATCTATAAAGGGATTTAATATGCGTAACAAAACCTCACCCTAGAAACCATTTCAGAAAATAGCTTACATGTATAGGGTTTGGTTATAAAAATATATTCCTAAAATAATTCCATTTTTTCTCTTGGTAACGTCATCTTGAAGTAGATTTCGAGTTCCTTAAAGGCAAATTTTCTCCATCCCTCACAACACATAGGCAATTATTTGGTAGGTTCTCCAATAACTACTGAATGAATGAGTTCATAGACCCCTTCAGAAGCAGATGGGGAGACGTTTTATAATACTAATCATTAAAACCTCTTCCAGAGATAGATATTTCATGTTCATTCTGCTTCTTCCAACTATTTGAAAAGCCTTGTTAGAAACCCTCATTAGTGCTCCTCCAATTTGACCCATAGTTGTAAACACAGAGGTGATAAGAAGCTGTCCCCTTTTGATCAGAATTAACTGAAACTGTTATCACAACCAGAGGTATATTTCTCATGAATCTGCTTAACTTAAGAACAAGTTTCTTATATCTTGACACATCTTTCTGAAGGTAATTCACTTTGATATTTGCCTTGAAAACTGATAATCAGCATGAAACTCATTTATTTTGATGCCTGTCTAGATACTGGGGTGATACATAATTAAAAAAAAAAAAAGTTATGGCTGTTTTTGCTTAAGGACTCCTTGTCTTGGGAGTCAATTTCATGCTGACTTCATTTTTCAGACACCAGGTGGCATCACATGGCAGGAATGGCAAGGCCACCCTGGGATCTTTAAACAGAGGCTGGGAAGCAGTGCTCAGCTGAATTCCAGCTTTAAGTTGTGTGCTCGGTGTGCTGCCCACACCCCTGCCTGCTGCTGCTGTCTTGTTTGTTTTTCTCTCATTCCTGTTCCCTGGTTCCTGACTCTGGCATCTCCCCTACCCTACCTCTTAATGTCCCTGTTCAGATTACTGGGACTTGACCTTGATTATATTCTGTGACTCTGTCTTTTGTCTCACGGATGAGATCTGACATTCACTGGCAGCGTCTCCAGAACTCTACCCCGTAACTTAGAACTTGCTTTGCTCGTGTCAAGTCATGCGTGACAAATTGGCCTACCAAAAATAAATAAAAGAAATCCATGTGGATGGTTTCTTATCTCAGTTCCAATGTACTTTAATTTATTGGTATATAAGTCAGATGCAAGTGATGAAAGTGATAGAAACCCAATTCAAATTAGCTTCAGCAAAATTTGTCCACTGGCCTGTTTAACAGGGATTGAGCTGACTCTGGACATGCCAGGCTTAAGACTTCAAACATGGCTGTCTATCTGTTCTTTTTCTCTCTTGGCCCCGATTGTCTCTGAGTGCTAGCCTCATTCTTTCATGGTGCAGATAGATAGCTTACTCTAGAAAGCAGGAGAAGGTGACTAATGGCATCTCCAGGCTTACTTTTTTTTTTTTTTAGCTCAAAATAACATTTCATTCTCCCAATATTTGCATATCAGTCACAAAGACTCTGTTTGCCTCTGCTTGTATCAGAAGATCACCCATAAGCCAATCACATAATACTCGAAGGGAATTAAACAAGGTCACTGGTCAGATCTGAGTCACATTCCCATCCCTGTGACCAGTGACATGGAATCCATTATTGGAAGAAAGTGGTTGGAGGACAAGTAAGAATAATAACAACCATATTTCATGATCCTAGAATGTTCAGAACATGGTGGATTAAAATGATAGGTCCTATGCACTAAAAACTCAAAGAAAGGCTTTATTTTAAAAAGCGAACATTACTAAATGTAGAGTTGATTTTGAAGGAGAGAAAAGGAAATTCTCCAAGTGTGAGAAACAAGAGAAAAATCACAGCAAGAGTGGGAAGCTGCCACTGTCAGTGGCCATGTGATTTTATATGGCATATACTGCCCAGAGGTTTTGGAGCTGGAATCCCATTTCCATGTGGAAATCAGAACCCTGTCTAAAGGTTCACTCATGGTAATACAACTTGAGCAAAGCTCTTTGAATAGGGCCTGCAATTTCAAAGTGTTCCTTCAGTCACATAGACTGTGTAGAGCAGCCTTAAGAAATAGCAACGAAACTTGCCATCTATCTGGAATTTGAGAAATCAAAATCCCTAGCCTGGGCAGTTGTGATACAGGAAATGTAAGCCAATAAATTAACATGGAGAGTTTTCAGGACTATTGAAACAACTGTCACAGCCGTATCCCCTCTTCCTATTTCCAAATACACTGAAACTGCCCTGAGGTGATACTTTCACATCCCAGGTACATAGAAATCCCACTTAAAAAACAGAATCTTTTCTGAAAATGAGCTCACAATAAAAAATGTACAGGCCGCAAGAAGAATAACTCCACCATGTTGAGCAAAGGAAGGAAAGAAAGGAGATAAGCAAAACAAAAGTAAATCAGAAGGACAAGCACCCTAAGGAACTAAACAAAAATTACAAAAATATGAGAAAGATTATCAAATGAGCACACTAAAGAGACTAAAGAGGTAAACAGTGGAGTGGGGAAAAATTAGAAAAGAATGGTATAATAGGAAAAAAAGAACTTTTCAAAATGAAAAGTGCAAATATTGACATTAAAAACTAAAGGGAATGACATAAATGTCATATTAAACCCAGCGATGAAACAGAATATAAAGTTGGCAAATGGCCCAGCATGTAGTACAGATAAAAAATATGAAAGGCTAGTTAAGAGATATGGAGGATAGCACTTTTTAAAAATCCAGAATTCATCAATAAAAATTTCAAAAGGAGAAACTAAAGAGAATTGAATTGTGGCAATATTTTGAAGGGATAATGGTTGATAATTTTCCAAAATTAAAGAGATAAATTGAAGCATCACATTATGTCTAGAGCTGGATAAATTAACACTAATTCACATTCAAATACATTGCAGGTTTTAGGTTTATTTTGTTGTGTTTTTAATTTTAAAGAGTCTATTTGAGCAACAGAGATTTGTGAATCAGGCAGCTCCAGGCCTCAAGTGTTAAGCCTCCACCTAGAGGAGGGGAACAGCTTTATAAGATATTTGAGGAAGCAAGACAAAGAAAATATTTGATTGATTATTGTTGTGAAATGTGAGATCATCAAAGAGAAAGAAGAAATTTTAAAAGCAACCAGAGAGGAGAGATGGTTTATTTCCAATAAGGATTACTTACACTTACTTACAATTTGGATGGCAATAGTTTTCTCATTGGCAACAATAGCTGCTTAGCTGCTAGAGGATAGAGGAATAATAGGTTCAAAGTATTGCAGGAAATTCATTGACAGCCCAGGTTCTAAATTCAACTAAAATGTCATTTAAGAATAAGATTAAATACATTTTCAGGTACTTCATCACTCATCAATGATAGAACTTCTGAAGAATATTATTGAGTAGAAATAGGAAACTAAACTCAGAATAAGGGAGAAACAAGGAGAATTGAGCAGAGAAATTGGTAGAAACATTCATAAATCTAATAAGGCATGACTATGACAATAATAGTGATGATAGTTAATGGGAGTGGCGGGCAAAATAAGTTAGAAACAATTACTCATAATCCACTACAATATTCAAAGACGGGACACTGAAAGGTCATAGAGGGAGAAATAATGTGTATAGAGAAAGTGGGGGAAAAGTGGAGACACAGCAAAAGACCTGTTTATTAGAGCAATGCAATTTTCACTCCAATAGCTACCTTCACCAGAATGCTTCTCAAAATGATGCAAAAGACTGCGACAACAGGCCGGGCACAGTGGCTCACGCCTGTAATCCCAGCACTTTGGGAGGCCAAGGCTGGCGGATCACGAGGTCAGGAGATCGAGACCATCCTGGCTAACATGGTGAAACCCTGTCTCTACTAAAAATACAAAAAATTAGCTGGGCATGGTGGCAGGCACCTGTAGTCCCAGCTACTTGGGAGGCTGAAGCAGGATAATGGCATGAACCCGGGAGGCAGAGCTTGCAGTGAGTCAAGATTGCGCCACTGCACTCTGTTGCCTAGGCAACAGAGCAAGACTCTGTCTCAAAAAAAAAAAAAAAAAAAAAAAAGACTGTGACAACAGATAATTCTTTTTAATTTGGTAAGGAAATGCTGAAATCAATTTATATCTGCTATGACACTGTAGGTAGCCCTTAACAATTTCAGACTGTGCAAAAAATACCTATTTATTAGGAAACTGGTAAAGTATCTTCCATGGGGCCCCTCCATTTTTCTCTCCAGAATTTTAGGCTCTCTTCTTTGTGGCTTTGGTGTTTCCAATTGTGGACATGTCATGTTCTCTCTGGAAGCTCTCCTTCATCTTTCACTTTGTCTTCCTAGTTTCTCTTACTCTGTTCTGACATCCTCGTGTTCTCATATTGTCAGATTTACAACCCACCTAGGAATCCACCTGTTCAGTTCTCTCCAGTTTCTGGGGAGAAGTTATCTCTGTGGGTGGTACACAAGGGACATTTTCTGCCATGTCAGCTGTTGTTATGCTGTGTAATGGAGATGCTCTAAAAATCTTTCTTTATGTGCACAGATGACTTTGAGATGATTTTTCTAGGCAACAAATCAGTTTTATTTTGTTTTGTTTTGTTTTTGAGACAAGGTCTCACTCTGTTGCCCAGGCTGTAATGCAGTGGCACGATCTCGGCTCACTGCAACCTACACCTCCCAGGTTCAAGGGATCCTCCCACCTCAGCCTCCTGAGTAGCTGGGACCACAGACCACACCAGGCTAATTTTTGTATTTTTTGTAAAGACTGGGTTTCACCATGTTGCTTAGGCTGGTCTGGAATTCCTAGGCTCAAGCAATTGTCCCGCCTTGGCCTCCCAAAGTGCTGGGATTACAGTTGTGAGCCACCATGCCCGGCCTAAAACCAGTTTTGAGAGAAAGTTGGAGGAGGTAGTTCTGTCTTCTGCTATATATCATCACTCAGTCATAGTAGCTCCTCATTCATTTTATCCCCTTGTTTGAAATGTTATCTCTCTAGTTTAGAGTGCCCAGTGATGGTTTCTAGTCTGGGCCCAATATAGCCAGCCATGTTCTAAGAGAATGACTTGCACTAAATACAGTACACATGAGGCAGAAGTGGAACCAAGGTGCTAACATAATAAACTAAGAAATTACAAGGTTGCGCACGGTGGCTCACGCCTGTAATCCCAGCACTTTGGGAAGCCAAGGCGGGTGGATCACAAGGTCAGGAAATTGAGACTGTCCTGGCTAACACAGTGAAACTGCGTCTCTACTAAAAATACAAAAAATTAGCCGGGCGTGGTGGCCGGTGCCTGTAGTCCCAGCTAACTGGGAGGCTGAGGCAGGAGAATGGCTTGAACCCGGGAGGTGGAGCTTGCAGTGAGCCAAGATTGCGCCACTGCACTCCAGCCTGGGTGACAGAGTGAGACTCCATCTCAAAAAAAAAAAAAAAAAAAAGAAAAAAAAAGAAAGGAATTACTGACCCAGGGACCAGAATATCCATGCTGGTATGGTCATTTCATTTTCTTTCTATTGTCAAGGTACTTAAGAAGATGAATTATAATCAGCATCCACTTTATTAATTCACCACAGAAAATTACTGTCATCGGGATTTCAAGCACCCCAAACACCATATGATAAAAGCAGCCTTTCCCATAGGCAGGCCTGCATATGAAAGCAAATAATATCAGAGGGTTGTATGGTAAACACAGGGACAGATGAAGGTTGTCAAATGTTTATCCTCATCCTTCACACAAAAGCTGTTGTTTATCCAATGGGTCTTTGAAATTTTGAAGTGCTTGGTAATGACCTCCTAAATCCATACCAACATTCAGGATAATTAAAAACTGCTCACTTTTAGTAAGATGATAAAATTTGGCCCTCTCAGTACTACACAAAGCTGGGAAGAAGACTAGCAGTGTTTGATTCTGTGATTCTTTTATGACTACCCAATCCTTTTTCTAATTGATACAGTATACTTTTGTCATGATGCATCAGTGTCATTTGTCTCTAATGTCCTTTAATATCTGGTCAGGGGTTGATAGTGATTCCCTCTCATTCCCTCTGTTGTAACCAGAGGCATGAATGCCCATGCTAGTGCCTACTAACAGATAGTAGTTGATAGCTAGGCATCAGGCTGTCTATGAGAAGAACCAATCTTGACTTCTGCCTCATGCAAGGAAAGATTTCCAAAGGTTGCCACACTCGCTTCTAATAACATAATCTAAAATACTGCATACTAAGCTTTTGGGTCAGAAGTCAAGAGTTAAAGGAAGCTATGGCTCTCACTTCAGGGGGTGGAGGGTAGGTGCAGCTAAACAAAAAGACAAAACTCTATAAATAGTTTTGGGGCTCTGAATTAAGAATTTTTCATCCAAAGACATATTTTCTTTCTAATACACTTAAACCTGACTTCTCATTCTGAACAACCAAGAAAATGTCTTTTATTTCAGGTGACCAAGTCTGGATTTTTTCTAAGAAAAAACTTTCCAGAGAACAAGGGGCCAAATCAATATGCAATAATAATTTTGGTCTAAATTAAAAGCTCTCTCTTGGCCTGGAGAATATAATCTGCTCATATTACTTGAGCTTTGTAATGAATTTACAAGACAGGCTTATTGCCAGTTTTATGTGGGCTCTGCCTTACTGGGGCATGGGATGCTTAGGGAATCTGATTAAAACCTTGGGAAAGAGCAGCTGTTCAGCAATAGAGGGTGAATTCAGGGCCCATTTTTCTGTGCCTGACTGCAGGGCCTGACACCCTTGCCAGCTATTGGAAGATAAATGAACTGTCTTTGAATGCCTAGCTCCCTTGTTAATAGCTTTAAAATATTGGTTGTTTATGGGAAAGAAGTCAGGAGCTCTTATCAATTTTCCTGCCCCAGGGGTCCTCAAATATATCACTTTTCCCGTTGCCAGAATGGCAGGCAGTATTGAAGGAAAAAGGAGGAAATTCTTTCACCATTTAGAAGTTCTTCATGGATTCACAGCAAGAGTTTCTCATTTCAAAAGTTAGAGTGAATGCCCACTAAATTATTAGATGAAATAACTCACATAGAATTTAGACTCCCCTCTTCCTGGCATTATCCTGCAATATCAGAATCATGATGTAGTTTCATCTGTTTTTTCTAAAGGCAATTAATTCAAATTGGATATATGAAAGTCAAATTCTAAAGTCTGTGCCAAATGGCTTATTTTCAGAATGGCAGTTAAATGGTCAAATTTGATCTAATGACATTAAGGTGAGCATGCTATATTTTGGGCCATTAAATTAAATTCTTACCCTAATGTGTTTTGAGGTTTATCCTTTTTCATTTTTACCCCCCATTCCCATTCTCACCCGCCTACTTTGCTTTTTATGGAACTCAGAAAAACTTCTTGGCAGAGTTAATTCTTACTTATGTAACAGTTGACTATTTAAATTTTCAGATATTGTTTATTGTTCTTATAGCTGTTCACTTTTAGCCTTTTCATTAGCATAACTTATAAGAAAAAGTTAGGAAAAGTAGAAAAATATATGCATGTATGCAGTTGGCTTTCTTTTCATTAGTAATTCTAATACAAGTTTTCATGGAAAAACTTTAATCTTAGAACATAACCTCAGATGTGGAAAGTATGTGTTTTACTTCTCCATGGAGAAGTAAAGGTTGGGTTGGCAGTCTGGATTCTGACTTTATTATTTACTAGTTTTATACCAATGAGCAAGTCAGTCAACCTCTTTAAGTTGGTTTTCTCATTTCATCAAGATGGCAACTTTAGTATACATATCTATTCTCACCTTTAAAAAATAAAAACCTGTTGAGATTTTAGATGTCAGTTACGCTAAAGCTATAGATTATAAAAGCAAATAAGATCAACTTTAAGGGGAAACAACATTATAGAAAACTAAAGCCCAAAGCATATATACTTACTAAGGTGTATATAAATGGCTATTATATCTACAAAACAGGGATAAGCTGAAATTTGAAATATAAATCATAGAAATTCAAAATAGGAAAATCCATATTTATCAAAGCCTTTGTTCAGTTTTTACATTCTTTTTGCTTTATTTTTGTCTGAATGGGTTAATTTAAAAGATATGTAGTCAAGCTTTGAAATTTTTCTGCTTTGTCTAATCTATTGTTAAAGCTTTCAACTGTATTTTGTAATTCCATCTGTAAATTTTTCATTTCCAGAGTTTTGTGCTTTCTTTAAATATCTATCTCTGTAGTAAATTTTTCATTCATATCTTGAATTGTTTTTCAGATTTCTTTGTATTGGTTTTCAACTTCCCCTTGGATCTCGTTGAACTCCCTTATGATCCATATTTTGAATTCTTTATCTGTCATTTTAGAATTTTCATTTTGGATAAGATCCATCACTAGAGAGCTAGTGTGATCCTTGAGGGGTGTTACAACACTGTTTTTTCATGGTGACAGAATTGGTTGGTTCCTTCTCATCTGGAGAAACTGTCACTTCTTATTTTTGAATTTACATTCATTTTAATGGGACTTTATTTTTCCCCTTGAAAGTGTGACTGTTGCATATGTTGGGTAGGGTCATTTGGCTTTGCTAATTTGTGATCTTGGGGTGGGGGCTAAGGCTCCGTATGAATTCCTTGGTTATAGATAGCCTTAGTGTAGTGGCTTGCTCAAATGCTGCTTGTTTGTAGGTTTTAGTAGTGGTGTACTCTGCATGTTGTCAGGCTCACTGTCTCCTGCAGAGATGGGGAAGTAGAAGTCTCAGGAGATTATCTCATTCCCCAGTGCTTTGCACTTCTGTTTATTCTCACTTATAAATGGGAGCTAAATAATGGGTACACGTGGACATAAAGAGTGGAGTAATAAACATTAGAGACTCCAAAAGGTGGAAGGGTGGAAGGTAATGAGGCTGAAAAATTACCTATTAGGTACAATGTTCACCATTTGGGTGATGGATACACTAAAAGCCCAGGCTTCACAGCTATGCAATATACACATGTAATAAATCTGCCCCTGTACCCCCTAAATCTATAAAAATATTAAAAAATTTAAAACTGGGAAAATCAAAATAAAATACTTAATAGATGAGCGGATATGATTGTCTACTTAGAAAATACAAGAGACTTAAATGGCAAAATATTAGAGAAATCGGAAATCTGGCTAGACAGATGATTGACAGACAAAAGTCAGTAGCTTTCCAGGACTTCAGCAACAATTAATGATAACATGTAATGGAAAACAGTTTTATTCATAATAGCATCTTAAAAATCTAACATAATTAGAATAACATTAAATAATAAATGTACAAGATATCTGAGAAGAAAAATTTTAACTTTAGTAAAGGACCAAAAAGACACCACAAACAATAAGGAGAGCTGCTATGAGACAGGATGACAAGATTCAAAAGCCAATTCTCCCACAAGTAAACTATATCTTCAATGTAAACTCACTTCTAAAACCACAACATATATTTTTAAGCCTATTCTACAGATCATGTGGAGCTTCTGCTTAAGACAGCAGGATAAAATAGTTTTATTCTACTAGACTCCCTGAAAACAAACTAAAACTAAGAAAAACACTGAAAAATAGAAAAAAAATAGCCGTTGAAACAGGAAAGTATTCACAACTCCAAACTATAAACTATGAAATATTTAAGTATGAAGTATTGCCGCTGAATAATGTGAAATCTTAAACAAGAGATGGTAAGATGCTGAGCCAAGTCTGTTTCTCTCGGACCTGATAGCACATCATACTACTGAAAGGAGCATCCAATATTCTGCTGTTTAGAGCACAGTTAAGATCAGGTAGATGGGTCAGGGGAAAATGGGGAAAATAGTCTGACCCCTCAAAACAGCAGCCAAATAGAAATCATGCTGACACATTCTGGTTTCCTAGCCAAGGACTCTGCTGGAGGCTATTTGTATGGAAGAAAAGGAGAAGTTTTCAAATTAAAACATAATTCATCCGCAACTTCGGGGGTTTTTCTCTGTGCCACCTCAATTTGAATGCCATAAACTACAAAAAGATGTATTCCCAATAGCAAAGAAATAACAGATTTGGTGACAGATGCTTGAGACAGCCAGTGGCAGTTTTAAAACATAGCCCCCAAATTCATTGACACTCCTATCCAGAAATGGGTCTATGCCCCACCTTCAGTGTAAAGAATACAGAAGGGATGCTGTCCCAGTTTCCAGGTCCAGGCCTTTAGTAACTAGCAGCTTCCACCTCCTCTCGCTTAGAGAACTTACTCTTGGAACCCAGCCACCTTGCTGTGAGGAAGCCAAATCAGTCTGTGGAGAGTTCCACCTGGAGAGGGAGCGACAGCCAGCAAGACTTGCCAGACATGTGGGCGATCCATCTTTGAAGTGGATCCTGCAACCCCATTCAAGCTGCCCCAGCTGATACCACGTGGAGCAGAAATGAGCTGGACCTACTGCACCCTGCCCAATTTGCAGAAATGTGAACAAAATAACTGATTGTTATTTTAAGTCACTCAGTTGTGGGGTGGTTTGCTCTGCAACACTAGATAACCAGGACAAAACCCAAATTAAAACAGCAGTGAGCCTCAGCTTACTCTACCCTATTTCACCCCTTTCCCTGTACTATTATTTAATTATTTAAATAATAGTCAGGCTTTTAAAAAGATGAGTTATAATCAAAAAGGAGGGAGTAATATATATTCATTAAAACTGCAAAGTAATTTTTTATAAATAATGGAGGGAATTTAAGCCAAAGAAGAGCCCACAATCCCCAAACAAATACATCAAAGTATTTCAGAAAAATTGTAGACAAAGAGTTCTCCATTATTCTGAAGGACTTGCAGAAAATATGGATCTCTCTGTCTCTATATGTGTGTGTGTGTGAAGCAATAAACATCAAGCAAATGCTCCTAAGTATCAAGCAAACAAAAATGTTCAGAGCAAAGTTCAAAATTTTATAGAAGAGATATAAAATAATTAAGGGAGATTAAAAGTGTGCTGGCAATACTCAGGGAAAAAGTTGGAGAGATCAATAAAATCACTAAAGAGACAAAAGACACTAGAAGCCACAAAAATACAATGAACTTCACTGAAAATATTGTTAAATACATAGAAGACGCATTTGGGGAAATAACACAAAACAAAGTAGAAAAGAACAAAGATATAATGACTCCAGAGAATATGACAGAAATGAATGACAGATAGTTGGATGGTTTTGAAGAAGAAAACACTTGGAAAAATATCATAAGAACATGGTGTAAAACAATATTCTCCCGAAACAATGTAATAAATAGATAGACATAAAGGACCCACTAGATTTCAGGAAAGTTTCATTTGGAATCATCGACAGCATAAGATAATCTGAAAAAGTTACTGAATTTCAAGCTTAAAGAAAGGATTATGGGAGCACATAGGCAGAAAATTCAAGTCACTTACAAGAGCAGAAATAATCAGGTTGGCTTTCGACTTGACCACAGTGACATTCAATTTCAGAAGATGGAAAGGCAGCACATGTTCACTTCTGAGGGAAAGAATGTGAAACCCAAGCCAGATTGTTCCTCCAATATAAAGGCAACAGTTTGGGTGTTTTAATAGATAGTGTGGGGCAATGGGCTATTCCTTTGGGAGAAAAGTTAAATGCCTAATTCACGTCATTCCTAAAATGAAACTAGAAGGATTACAGAGCTCAATGTTAAGAAAAACTACAAAAACATTGGAAGCATATTTTAGAATTTTAGAATATTAATACTCTTCCTAAATAAAATTCAAATCCTAGAAACAATAAAGAAATAGATAGTATTTTATAGATCTTGTGTGTGTATAGCTATAGATATGTTCAATGTTTTCAAGAATCTTTTTGCCAGTATCAGCCAAAATTTAAATGTGCCCAGTGAAGGTACTTCTAGCAATCTACCTTACAAAATATTTGCTTACATCAACAAAGATATTTATACACTGTATCATTGTAATAACAAAAAAATGTAAATAGTCAAAATGTCTATAAGAAAGATTAAATATACTGTGCTACATACAAACAATGGCACACTTTGGAGCTTTAAAAAAATTTATGGCCTGAAAAAACCTCTAAGACATTTTAAGTTAAAAAACGAAGTTTCTGAAAATGTATAGTGTATAATAGTATTTATTTAAAAATTATATCTGTATAGCAATGCATATAAATGTAAGTAAAAGGGTTTTTACTCTATATACTTTTACATAGCCTTAATCTTTAAGGCAGAAAATACATTACTATTTTACTTCTGTAATAAAAATGATTTAAGAAATAAATGCATTTTTAATTGGAATGAAATTATCTCCCTGCTCACCTGATAGATGTTGTAAGTTGTATTTATGCTGTATCCTGATCACCTATAACTAGCATAAGAGTTGGCCGTTTATTGTTGGTAGGTCTCTATCTATTAATGAATGAATGGATAGGAACATAGTAAGAATCCAATGAAGGGATGTTTGTAAAAGGCATAAGGTATTTGTGTGACAGCAAAACTTGACTTTAAATGATGAGAGTAAAACTCTAGGAATGCATGTGTCTCTGATGCCAGGACAATTGACTGAAAAGTGAAATCTTTGGCCAACCAACCAGTTGTTTAACTGATTAGTTTGGTGACTTGGAACAGGATAGGCCTAACCAGACCTGATGGAGCCCTAATATCCCTGCTCAGAATTGTGTCCATGTTTGTGGAACAGTTACATCCATCTCCCAAACCATAGGAACAGATTATCAAATCAGACAAATATGAGATTTATCACTTAACGTGTGGACTTCTAAAAATACAAATGAAACTTTCCTCTAGCTGCAACCCAAACCTCAAATTTATCATTTATATTATTTTTTCTTTAAGTTCCAAATTACTAACCATGTAATACTATTCAAGAGGTATTCAATTTATATGTACATAAACTTGTCTCAGGAAAATAAATTTCCATAAAATCAAAATTTATTGTTGGGGTGGAAGATCTAAGAATTTTGGGGATCAGTTGGGTAATGTTACTGTGTGGTGGTCCTGGATACAAGACAAGAAGTGACGGGGTCAGTAGGTAAGTGGAGGGTACATGCACTCAAAAAGTGCCTCAGGTTCAATTTTTATTTTAAACCATGTGATGGCCAAACATAATTGGATATGGCCAGTTGTGACCCCCAGGCTTAATTGCTATAAACTCTCCATTCCATTAGAATCTTTTCATTGTGACCCCCATCCCAGGCCACTCTCCTTTCCACCTTTACTCTTTTGTGCCTGCTGTTTTGTCAACCAGAAATTCCCTCTAAGTCATCTGCCTCCAAATGGCAATCATTTTGCAAAGCTGAGATCGTATTCTACCTTTCGGGCAAACACTCTCAAGAACTTGCCAGCCACTGATTTTCTCCCCTCAATCCCCAGAGAATGCTTTGTTTGGAACCATTGACTCTCAAAGTGAGACAAGGAGTTAAAGGTCTGTAATCCAGTCACAGATATAAATCATATCCAATATGATCACATGAGGTTGCTCTGCTTAGATCTGATGATCTCAGGAGAAGGTGGGCAGTTGAGGAGGCAAGTTCTTCCTCATCTCTTGCCTGCTTCTCTATATCTTCAAGTCACTGGTTCTGGTCCAGCATGTGGGAATCATAGTCAGGAGCAGCCTATGTATTGTTGTGCCTGCCCAGTATTGACTAGCAAAGTGTTTTTTAGAAAAATATAAATTTATTGTCCAAATTTTAAAAAATCAAGAGAACTAGCATAAAAATCCAGATTTCTAGTTTCTTTTGGAAAAACTGGAAGATGTAGGAATATTGGGAGAGTGTAGATACATCTCCTCTGACAACAATTAAGCTGGCATTAAGAAGCGGCTATCCCTCCCCTTAACCCAGGCACAACACCTCCAAACTGAGCCTAGGGACCATTTGCTATGGGGTATTGAGTTTGAACAGTGGCTTTTTATGAAAGAGATAAGAGGAAAGGCAATATATTTTGTGCTCATGTCTCTATCAAGGAACGAAATGTGAAAGAGTGAGACTTTCCTCACTCACATTGCCTGCCCAACCCCTGTGGAAATTTGAATTTGTCACCTGTAATATTGAACAAGAGTACCCTCTCCTTGATATGAAAGCTGTTTAAATAATAGAAAAAGTAAAACTATCAAAAAGAATTAAATGTTGTCTCCTCTGCAAGTTCCTACTTCAGTTCTGTATAAGATATAGTTCTGATTCCCTTCATCATTGTAGTTGCTCTCCTGTGAACAAGTTTACTTCTATATTTTCAAAAGTGCATTAGAAATTTTGACCCAAATGCAGGGATTATTTTTAATCCCTACTAAGTTTTGTTTGGATTTATGCAAGGCACTTGGCCTCTCATCAGTAACTTGCGGACTAATTTGAAGGATTTAGAGTTAGATGTAGGCAAAATTAAGTAATTGGGTATTGATTTATTTAGCAATAAAATCCAGTATTTCTAGTAGCTTTGCAGAGAGCTCTATTTAAGGACTTATCCTGTTTAATATTTTTATCAGTGACTGAAATCATGGGACCGATTGCAGGCTTGTCAAATTTGCAATTGATATGAATCTGAGAGGTATAGCAAGTATACTAAATAAAATATCAAGATTCCCAAAATATAGCAACGAGCTGGAAAAAGACTTCTTGTGTATTTAAGGTTAGTTTGACATAACTAGTCTCTGAATTATTAATTATATTTTAATCATCCTACCAGATTTTGTTTTAAGCTATTAACTGATAAATAATCTTAGGTAACAGCATTTCCAAAGAAATATACTGTAAGCAAAGTCTATCATATTCAGAAAATACATTGGAATATGAATTTATTTTTTAAATTTTTTCAAATGATCAAACTCAAAAGGGAGCTATAAATCAGAATTCCATTTTCCCCCTCAAATTTTCACTTAGTAAACTCAATCCAGGGTCTGAGAGTTAAACTCTGATTATTTTTCACCATGAACTGCATTATCATTAACAAAATTGATCTTATCTGAAAAATCTCACCGATAATAGTCAAGGCAGAAATAATCTACCTTAGCTTCTGTGATAAAAGAAAAGGCTTTATGCTCCTATCCACAAGAATCACTTCTTCACCCCAAATAAACTGGCATGTTCAGAGCAAAAAGACAATTCACTAAAATGGAAGGTATTTGTGGTTATCCTGCACCTTCCTAGAAGGTGGTTACATTGCTAGAGCAGCTCTGCAGTTCTTGAGACACAATCAATCAGACAAGTGGTTATTTTCTGCTGTTGCTTCTCTGGGTTTTGCCTCTTTTCCCTACTTAAATGGCTTGGCTTAAGGAGTTATTTAAATAAATGTGAAATCTCTGTATTTCAGTTCACTTCACTTCTCACTGAGTTTGAAGCATCTCCTTGATGAATAACGCAAAGATAATTATTATAAAGAATAACAAAAGGTTGTCTGTCAGTTTTTTTTTCTCTTTTTCCCCCAGGCCAAGTTGAGGATAAATGGTTGTTGAATTAACAAAAAATACATGTTTTTGTTTTTTCATTGAGCCTCATATTAGCCACTAAGGAAGTAAAAATAATATAATTGGATTATCTTTCATCTCCTTGCCAAAAATGATTTCTCTGCTGCTGTGTCTTGACATCCTCCATTGGTCCTTCAGATTTACAGCCCTAAGAAGACAAGGAGTGCTTCTGTTCTGGTCACCACTGAATCCCCAGTGCCTAATGCCTGGCTCATAATAGACTCTTAATAAACACTTGTTGAGTGAATGAACATCTCAGGACCTTTGAACATGCTATTCTTTTTGTCTGGAATTCTCTACCCCCAGTGCCACCTAAAACATCCCACCATTCCACCCTCTTTCTTTCCTGGACAGCTCTTTCTCATCTGTCAAATGTCAATTTAAATGGAGTGTCTTGGCATGAATTTTGCCCGACTATTATAGCTAGTAGATCTCTCTCCCTTGCCCCCCACTACACACATACACACACACACACACACACACGCACACACACGCACATATACTGGTAGGGCTACCAGATTTAGCAAATAAAGATGTAGGACACCCAGTTAAATTTGAATTTCAGATCAATAATGAATAAAGTCTTAGTATTTAATATTGGCAACTCTAAATACTATGCCCCAATCGTAGCACATATCATAATTTGTAATTATATTTTGTTTACTCATTTATTGTCTATTATTCCCTAATATATTTTAAACTCCATGCTAGCAGGGACAATGTCTGTTTTGCTCACCAACCTATACCTTCGTTCAGCACAGTTGTCTGCACTAGTAGATACTCAGTATGTACTTGTTGAGTCAGTAGTTTGGACCTCAGACAAGCTGTCAAGCTTATGATTGTCTATTAATTGATAAATTATTTGGGTGGACAGGCCATTTATTTATTTAGTGGTTCCCCCGTGTGGTTACTGATTAGAGTCAGTTACATTTTTAAGACATTACCTTATCTCTTGATGATGTCACCACAAAAGTAACTTCTCTACATGCAGATGTTACAGAGGAAAACAGGGAGATGGTCATAATTTACCCCAAAAAGACTAAATAGTTAAATTTCGATAGTGTAGCTCCTTTGCTGATGATTGATTTAATCTTTTGGAAAAAATATATATACTTAACTGAACTACATTATTATTATTTTTGCTCAATAAGAAGTTTTGAATATATTAATCTGGGAGAAAATAGAATAGTATTGACTGTAATATTTTAAATACATATTTAAATACATTCCTTGGGCCTGATTCACAGCATCTATAAAATGAGACTGTTGACAAAATGTCTTCTAATTTTATGTTATGAACTCTGATACCACCAAAGTTTAGGCCATAAAATTATTTTGCAGTTCAAAAAATGATTATTCTAACAGAAATAATCAAACATAGTCATTTAAATGACTAAAATATGTCTCTATAGTCCATCTTACTAACGTTAAATATGATAGAGTGAGTGTTTATAATACAGATGGTCTCCAATGTACAATGCTTTGAGGTAATGATTTTTCAACTTTACAGTATTGTCAACTCTAAATACTAGAGTGTTTAGCGACACTCATTCAGTAGGAAACATACTAAGAGCACCCATACAACCATTCTGTTTTTCACTTTTGGAACAGTATTCAATACATGATATGAGGTACTCAACATTATATTATAGGCTTTATGGTAGACGATTTTGCCCAAGTGTAGGAGAATGTAAGTGACCTGAGCACATTTAAGGTAGGCTAGGCTAGGCCATGATGTTCCATTGGTTAGGTGTATATTAAATGCATCTTCAACTTAACGATATTTTCAACTTACCATAAGGTTATTGGGATGTAACCCCATCGTAAGTGGAGGTGCATCTGTACCCTTTCTCTCCTTTTATCCCTCCATCCCTCCATCCTCCATCTAGCTGTCCCTTAGGAAAACAGCTTCTGCTCCCCAGTTGCTCACATTCTAAACAAAAGCATGCTCCTTCCCAGCAGTTACAGTGAGAAAGCCGTATTTTCCTAATGGTGTTTAGAAGGGTAAAATACATAATACATTAAATTAGATAAATCAAATACAATAAATACAGATATATTAAGTAAATAATGGGCTGCCCTCCTGGCAGCTCACAGTTTAATTGGAGAAGTAAATGTTCACCTCCACCCAAGCTCATTCATTACCAGCTTCCAACTATTTGTTTTAGCTCTTTGTATTTTATTAATTATTTGTGTTGGTCTCATTCACAGATGAAATTTTTCACTTGTAATTCCTCAGAACTAAATCCATTCATAGGGAATTCAGAGCAGTGCAAAGAAATTTCACACCATCCAGTAGGAAATGACAGCAACAATGAAAAGGAGCGGGAGGGGCCTGGGGATCAGCCAATGGGACCAATTCAGTTCTCAACTGGTGTTGGGTTTTGAAAAGGTTGCCTCACTCTAACCTGTACAGCACAGTCCTTTGGGATCTTTGGCTCTTCCAATTTCATTTTGTTAGTGAGAGGTCTGCCAGAAAAGAACCACCGCTGACTACATAGTTCCACTCCTTCTGCTGCGAGTCACCGCCTCTGCATGTGGCATACTGTGTCTGTGCTGCACACCAAAAGTTTGAGGGCTTTGCCTGTGGCAAGACACAAACGGAGCTGACATTCATAACTAGAATTGGGTGGTGGCTGAGGAACATTCAGAGTCTCTATGTTCTTTTTCTCTGTCATGGTGATTGCTGCTGCCAAGCAATAGATTGGAAGCTGATATCTATTCCCCAGTTCATCATAGCACTCTGTAAGTGCACCATGTATAATGTTACATTTGCACTATCAATGACTACTTGTGCAAGTTCACAATAACTTCTCTCAAAAACACGTGCAATAGCCTTCAAGAAATCCCAAATCTCCTTACGGCTTTGAAAAGCTAGTGCAGTCGGCTGGGCGTGGTGGCTCATGCTTGTAATCCTAGCACTTTGGGAGGCCGAGGCGAGCAGAACACAAGGTCAGGAGTTCAAGACCAGCCTGGTCAATATAGTGAAACCCAATCGCTACTAAAAATACAAAAATTAGCCAGGCATGGTGGTGCACGCCTGTAGTCCCAGCTACTTGGGAGACTGAGGCAGGAGAATCATTTGAACCCAGGAGGCAGAGGTTGTGGTGAGACGAGATCATGCCACTGCACTCCAGCCTGGTGACAGAGTGAGACACTGTCTCAAAAAAAAAAAAAAAGGAGCTAGTGCAGTCTCCCAAAATTCAACCCTCTTGCTGCCCGGTTGTCTATCTGTCATGGGATAGTAAGTTTTCCTTTTTTGTTTCTCCTATTTCTTTTTTTTAAATTATTATTATATTAAGTTTTAGGGTACATGTGCACAACGTCCAGGTTAGTTACATATGTATACATGTGCCATGTTGGTGTGCTGTACCCAGTAACTCGTCATTTAACATTAGGTATATCTCCAAATGCTATCCCTCCCCCATCCCCCCACCCCACAACAAGCCCCGGTGTGTGATGTTCCCCTTCCTGTGTCCATGTGTTCTCATTGTTCAATTCCCACCTATGAGTGAGAACATGCGGTGTTTGGTTTTTTGTCCTTGCGATAGTTTGCTGAGAATGATGGTTTCCAGCTTCATCCATGTCCCTACAAAGGATATGAACTCATCATTTTTTATGGCTGCATAATATTCCATGGTGTATATGTGCCACATTTTCTTAATCCAGTCTATCATTGTTGGACATTTGGGTTGGTTCCAAGTCTTTGTGACTGTGAATAGTGCCGCAATAAACATACGTGTGCATGTGTCTTTATAGCAGCATGATTTATAATCCTTTGGGTGTATACCCAGTAATGGGATTGCAGGGTCAAATTGTATTTCTAGTTCTAGATCCCTGAGGAATCGCCACACTGACTTCCACAATGGTTGAACTAGTTTACAGTCCCACCAACAGCATAAAAGTGTTCCTATTTCTCCACATCCTCTCCAGCACCTGTTGTTTCCTGACTTTTTAATGATCGCCATTCCAACTGGTGTGAGATGGTATCTCATTGTGGTTTTGATTTGCATTTCTCTGATGGCCAGTGATGATGAGCATTTTTTCCTGTGTCTTTTGGCTGCATAAATGTCTTCTTTTGAGAAGTGTCTGTTCATATCCTTCGCCCACATTTTGATGGGGTTGGTTGTTTTTTTCTTGTAAATTTGTTTGAGTTCATTGTAGATTCTGGATATTAGCCCTTTGTCAGATGAGTAGATTGGAAAAATTTTCTCCCATTCTGTAGGTTGCCTGTTCACTCTGATGGTAGTTTCTTTTGCTGTGCAGAAGCTCTTTAGTTTAATTAGATCCCATTTGTCAATTTTGGCTTTTGTTGCCATTGCTTTTAGTGTTTTAGACATGAAGTCTTTGCCCATGCTTATGTCCTGAATGGTATTGCCTAGGTTTTCTTCTAGGGTTTTTATGGTTTTAGGTCTAACATTTAAGTCTTTAATCCATCTTGAATTAATTTTTGTATAAGGTATAAGGAAGGGATCCAGTTTCAGCTTTCTACATATGGCTAGCCAGTTTTCCCAGCACCTTTTATTAAATAGGGAATCTTTTCCCCATTGTTTGTTTTTGTCAGGTTTGTCAAAGATCAGATGGTTATAGATATGTGGCATTATTTCTGAGGGCTCTGTTCTGTTCCATTGGTCTATATCTCTGTTTTGGTACCAGTACCATGTTGTTTTGGTTACTGTAGCCTTGTAGTATAGTTTGAAGTCAGGTAGCATGATGCCTCCAGCTTTGTTCTTTTGGCTTAGGATTGACTTGGCAATGCGGGCTCTTTTTTGGCTCCATATGAACTTTAAAGTAGTTTTTTCCAATTCTGTGAAGAAAGTCATTGGTAGCTTGATGGGGATGGCATTGAATTTATAAATTGCCTTGGGCATTATGGCCATTTTCACAATATTGATTCTTCCTACACATGAGCATGGAATGTTCTTCCATTTGTTTGTGTCTTCTTTTATTTCATTGAGCAGTGGTTTGTAGTTCTCCTTGAAGAGGTCCTTCACATCCCTTGTAAGTTGGATTCCTACATATTTTATTCTCTTTGAAGCAATTGTGAATGGGAGTTCACTCATGATTTGGCTCTCTGTTTGTCTGTTATTGGTGTATAAGAATGCTTGTAATTTTTGCACATTGATTTTGTATCCTGAGACTTTGCTGAAGTTGCTTATCAGCTTAAGGAGATTTTGGGCTGAGATGATGGGGTTTTCTAGATATACAATCATGTCATCTGCAAACAGGGACAATTTGATTTCCTCTTCCTAATTGAATACCCTTTATTTCTTTCTCCTGCCTGATTGCCCTGGCCAGAACTTCCAACACTCTGTTGAATAGGAGTGGTAAGAGAGGGCATCCCTGTCTTGTGTCAGTTTTCAGAGGGAATGCTTCCAGTTTTTGCCGATTCAGTATGATATTGGCTGTGGGTTTGTCATAGATAGCTCTTATTATTTTGAGATATGTCCCATCAATACCTGATTTATTGAGAGTTTTTAGCATGAGGGGCTGTTGAATTTTGTCAAAGGCCTTTTCTGCACCTATTGAGATAATCATATGGTTTTTGTCATTGGTTTTGTTTATATGCTGGATTATGTTTATCGATTTGCATATGTTGAACCAGTCTTGCATCCCAGGGATGAAGCCCACTTGATCATGGTGAATAAGCTTTTTGATGTGCTGCTGGATTCAGTTGGCCAGTATTTTCTTGAGGATTTTTGCACTGATATTCATCGGGGATATTGGTCTAAAATTCTCTTTTTTTGTTGTGTCTCTGCCAGGCTTTGGTATCAGGGTGATGCTGGCCTCATAAAATGAGTTAGGGAGGATTCCCTCTTTTCCTGTTGATTGGAATCATTTCAGAAGGAATGGTACCAGCTCCTCCTTGTACCTCTGGTAGAATTTGGCTGTGAATCCATCTGGTCCTGAACTTTTTTTGGTTGGTAAGCTATTAATTATTGCCTCAATTTCAGAGCCTGTTATTGGTCTATTCAGAGATTCAACTTCTTCCTGGTTTAGTCTTGGGAGGGTGTATGTGTCCAGGAATTTATCCATTTCTTCTAGATTTTCTAGTTTATTTGCATAGAGGTGTTTATAGTATTCTCTGATGGTAGTTTATATTTCTGTGGGATCGGTGGTGGTATCCCCTTTATCATTTTTTATTGCGTCTATTTGATTCTTCTCTCTTTTCTTCTTTATTAGTCTTACTAGCGGTCTGTCAATTTTGTTGATCTTTTCAAAAAACTAGCTCCTGGATTCATTGATTTTTTGAAGGGTTTTTTGTGTCTCTATTTCCTTCAGTTCTGCTCTGATCTTAGCTATTTCTTGCCTTCTGCTCGCTTTTGAATGTATTTGCTCTTGCTTCTCTAGTTCTTTTAATTGTGATGTTAGGGTGTCAATTTTAGATCTTTCCTGCTTTCTCTTGTGGGCATTTAGTGCTATAAATTTCCCTCTACACACTGCTTTGAATGTGTCCCAGAGATTCTGGTATGTTGTGTCTTTGTTCTCGTTGGTTTCAAAGAACATCTTTATTTCTGCCTTCATTTCATTACATACCCAGTAGTCATTCAGGAGCAGGTTGTTCAGTTTGCATGTAGTTGAGCGGTTTTGAGTGAGTTTCTTAATCCTGAGTTCTAGTTTGATTGCACTGTGGTCTGAAAGACAGTTTGTTATAATTTCTGTTCTTTTACATTTGCTGAGGAGTGCTTTACTTCCAACTATGTGGTCAATTTTGGAATAAGTGCTGTGTAGTGCTGAGAAGAATGTATATTCTGTTGATTTGGGGTGGAGAATTCTGTAGATGTCTATTAGGTCCTCTTGGTGCAGAGCTGAGTTCAATTCCTGGATATCCTTGTTAATTTTCTGTCTCCTTGATCTGTCTGACGTTGACAGTGGGGTGTTAAAGTCTCCCATTATTATTGTGTGGGAGTCTAAGTCTCTTTGTAGGTCTCTAAGGACTTGCTTTATGAATCTGGGTGCTCCTATATTGGGTGCACATATATTTAGGATAGTTAGCTCTTCTTGTTGAATTGATCTCTTTACCATTATGTAATGGCCTTCTTTGTCTCTTTTGGTCTTTGTTGGTTTAAAGTCTGTTTTATCAGAGACTAGGATTTCAACAGCTGCCTTTCTTTGTTTTCCATTTGCTTGGTAGATCTTCCTCCATCCCTTTATTTTGAGCCTATGTGTGTCTCTGTATGTGAGATGGGTTTCCTGAATACAGCACATTGATGGGTCTTGACTCTATCAAATTTGCCAGTCTGTGTCTTTAAATTGGAGCATTTAGCCCATTTACATTTAAGGTTAATATTGTTATGTGTGAATTTGATCCTGTCATTGTGATGTTAGCTGGTTATTTTGCTTGTTAGTTGATGCAGTTTCTTCCTAGCATCGATGGTCTTTACAATTTGGCATGTTTTTGCAATGGCTGGTAGCAGTTGTTCCTTTCCATGTTTAGTGCTTCTTTCAGGAGCTCTTTTAGGGCAGGCCTGGTGGTGACAAAATCTCTCAGCATTTTCTTGTCTGTAAAGTATTTTATTTCTCCTTCACTTATGAAGCTTAGTTTGGCTGGATATGAAATTCTGGGTTGAAAATTCTTTTCCTTAACAATGTTGAATATTGGCCCCCACTCTCTTCTGGCTTGTAGAGTTTCTGCCGAGAGATCAGCTGTTAGTCTGATGGGCTTCCCTTTGTGGGTAACCCGACCTTTCTCTCTGGCTGCCCTTAACATTTTTTCCTTCATTTCAACTTTGGTGAATCTGACAATTATGTGTCTTGGAGTTACTCTTCTCGAGGAGTATCTTTGTGGCGTTCTCTGTATTTCCTGAATTTGAATGTTGGCCTGCCTTGCTAGATTGGGGAAGTTCTCCTGGATAATATCCTGCAGAGTGTTTTCCAACTTGGTTCCATTCTCCCCATCACTTTCAGGTACACCAGTCAGACGTAGATTTGGTCTTTTCACATAGTCCCATATTTCTTGGAGGCTTTGTTCATTTCTTTTTATTCTTTTTTCTCTAAACTTCTCTTCTCACTTCATTTCATTCATTTGATCTTCCATCACTGATCCCCTTTCTTCCAGTTGATTGAATTGGCTACTGAGGCTTGTTCATTTGTCATGTAGTTCTCGTGCCTTGGTTTTCAGCTCCATCAGGTCCTTTAAGCACTTCTCTGCATTGCTTATTCTAGTTAGCCATTTGTCTAATTTTTTTTCAAGGTTTTTAACTTTTTTGCCATGGGTTCGAACTTTCTCCTTTAGCTCAGGGTAGTTTGATCGTCTGAAGCCTTCTTCTCTCAACTCGTCAAAGTCATTCTCCGTCCAGCTTTGTTCCATTGCTGGTGAGGAGCTGAGTTCCTTTGGAGGAGGAGAGGCACTCTGATTTTTAGAGTTTCCAGTTTTTCTGCTCTGTTTTTTCCCCATCTTTGTGGTTTTCTCTACCTTTGGTCTTTGATGATGGTGACATACAGATGGGTTTTTGGTGTGGATGTCCTTTCTGTTTGTTAGTTTTCCTTCTAACAGTCAGGACCCTCAGCTGCAGGTCTGTTGGAGTTTGCTGGAGGTCCACTCCAGACCCTGTTTGCCTGGGTATCAGCAGCGGAGGCTGCAGAACAGCGGATATTGGTAAACAGCAAATGTTGCTGCCTGATCGTTCCTCTGGAAGTTTTGTCTCAGAGGAGTACCCAGCCATGTGAGGTGTCAGTCTGCCCCTACTGGGGGGTGCCTCCCAGTTAGGCTATTCGGGGGTCAGGGACCCACTTGAGGAGGCAGTCTGTCCGTTCTCAGATCTCCAGCTGCATGCTGGGAGAACCACTACTCTCTTCAAAGCTGTCAGACAGGGACATTTAAGTCTGCAGAGGATTCTGCTGCCTTTTGTTTGGCAATGCCCTGCCCCCAGAGGTGGAGTCTACAGAGGCAGGCAGGCATCCTTGAGCTGTGGTGGGCTCCACCCAGTTCAAGTTTCTGGGCCACTTTGTTTACCTACTCAAGCCTTGGCAATGGTGGGCGCCCCTCCCCCAGCCTCGCTGTCACCTTGCAGTTTGATCTCAGACTGCTGTGCTAGCAATGAGCGAGGCTCCATGGGCATAGGACCCTCTGAGCCAGGCGCGGGATATAATCTCCTGGCGTGCCGTTTGCTAAGACCATTGGAAAAGCGCAGTATTAGGGTGGGAGTGACCCGATTTTCCAGGTGCCGTCTGTCACCCCTTTCTTCGACTAGGAAAGGGAATTCCCTGACCCCTTGTACTTCCTGGGTGAGACAATGCCTCGCCCTGCTTCAGCTCACACTTGGTCGCTGCACCCACTGTCCTGCACCCACTTTCTGACACTCACCAGTGAGATGAACCCAGTACCTCAGTTGGAAATGCAGAAATCACCCATCTTCTGCGTCACTCACGCTGGGAGCTGTAGACTGGAGCAGTTCCTATTCGGCCATCTTGGCTCCACCCCCCTGTTTCTCCTTTTTCAAAGGCTGGTTACCACCTAGAGCAACTCAGGTGCCCTCTGAGTTCTTGCTGAGTCTGCCTGAGGAGTTGTTCTGGATGCCCACACCCACGTGGGCTCCCTGGTGCTTGTCCACCACCTCTGGGCGCTTGTCTGAGCTCACCACCACAGGTCTCTGTACAGGTGCACTACTCCTCTCACTCAACACAGCCCAGCCCCCTGCTGATTTTTAAATTTTAACACTTGAGTGTTTACTATGTGTTAGTACTGATAAGTGATTTACATATCCCAGCTCATTTAATAATCCCAACAACTATGCTATACTTACTTCTTATCCTATTAATAGATGAGAAAACTGAGGTTCAGGGAGGTTCAACTACTTGCCAAAACCCCTCAGCTAGAAAGTGGAGGAGTTTAGGATGGATCAGATATATGGTATATTTTGAAGTGAGGTAAATGAATTACATGTCAAATGAAATAGATCAAAAAAGTCTTTTAAAGGTAGGATTCTCCCTGCAAATGAACAAAAGGACTATAGCATCACTCATGGAGGCAGGGGCTACCAGAAGAAGGATTCTCTCAGCCTCTCACTTCTCTTCTGTGGCTAAGATACAGCTGTGTTAAGGGGTTTAGTGGGAAGGTATTAGGTGACCAAAGACACCCAGGTTGAAGCTCCACCTCTGCCACTTCCTAATGTTCCTGGACAAGTTTCTTACCCTATTTGACCTTCAACAAAATACAGGTGCAACTTTGTGAAAACTTAATGCGATGGGCTCTTTGTAAACTGTAAAACATGATGAAAATGGTATTTATTACTTGGCCTCTTCTGTTGGCGGGACCAGAAGTTGCTGAGATACTGAGAAAGAAAAGGGTATGCTTAGAAGTGCTTCGACTTGGTCCTTTCTTAAACTGCTGTCCATGTGGGTGGTCCTCTGGATTCAGCTGGAAAAGAGTGGAGATTAATGAGAGCTAGTTTATCCTCTTACCCAAAGCTATTGTCCTGGTAAAATGAGGATTTATTTGCCTTTCCTCGGGATTGACACAGCATGACACCATGAGATGAATTTTTATCTAGGGCAACGCAAATCATTGTATACATGCATTACACAAAATAAAAGCTTCTGTAAAGATTTTAATATTTGACTGCTATGCATGGAAAATGTGTCTGCATTATGTATACAATGTAAATTTTTGCAAATTTGAAAATCCCATTTTCATCAGACAAGCATAATGGTTCCGGTTTGCTTTGCGTAAGCTTCCTTTTTTCTAAGTATTAGTTAGTGTTTGGAAATGCTTTTTCTTTCTTTATTCTCCCTTACACAAACAAAATTACTCTGCTTAGAACATTTATGACAAGTTCTCTTAAAAACTGAACACTGTCTGGGATTTTGCTTGAGAAACTGTATAATCTTTATAGTGGCAGCATCTTCTGTGTTTTCTTTTTAACCTCCTTGATTTTCCTCTTGTCTTTCAGTTACTCCTTGTGGACATTCTTCAACATCTCTCTACAATATCAATAAAATACAGGGCTTAGAAAACTACCTCAGCAGCTCTTCTGAATGAGTTAGATAGAGGTGTGTAGGTTGCTAAAGAACAATTCTTTCTCTTCTGTAAAATTATTTTCACTGTTATGATGAGCTTGATTGTGGAAGCTATCCCAATTTTCAAAATGCAGGGTTTCATGGTTCTGCAGTCCCTTTGATGTGATGCTCCATGGAAACTGCCAATTCTCTCTTCAGAAGAATGGTCTAAACCCTCTGAGTCTTTCACTAGGCCAAGTAGATAGGAAATTCTATCTGCTTGCTTTATTTCTTCTTCAAATAAATAGCTATTTTGATATTATTTCTGTGTTCACAGATGAAAGTGGCATTTCAGTTTTGTAAGGTGATACTTCTTACTGTTAGATGAGGATATCTTTGAAGGCTCATCAGGATCTTTTCATCAGGCAAGAAATGTCTCCCCTGTAGTGTATCCAAGGAGGCTGAGAAGAATGGTCATTCTCCTGTCATCGTGCCAGGTTGGTCCTAAGGCCACCTCTCTCTCACCAGCAGGAACCACCTTTTGTCTTCTAGACAGAATTAGGAAAGAGTGGGAAGTGGCAAATGAACTTTGTACTGTCTTTGAGCCCCTGTGGGATGTCTGTGGTTTTCTACAGTTACCAGACTTTCCAATCTGGAATGAACATTGGGCCCTGAGACTCCTGACAAAGCCCCTTCTCCCTTCAGCTACCCTAATATTCTACTCCTATTATGGAAGGCTCTGACCATTGGCATCGAATACTTTTCTTTACACTCCCTTCCAAAGACCCTCTCTATACTCCTCCAACTTCTGATCTCCAAAGCTCCCAATGTATTTAATATAAAACTCTCTTGACACAAGTTCAATCAGTTGGCCACATAAAGTAGGCCTTATGCATTATTGACTTTAGGACTCTGTTGAGAATTCCCTAAGAGGGCTCAGGAAATGGTCTATATTAATGCTTTTCCTCCCACGGTTCCAGCACTCCAAGATCTCCTACTTGTATCTCAGTCTCAGCTGTGTTCTTGGCTGTCATGCAAATATTCCTAGGATCCATTTTCTCTTTACCTTCACTCTGATACCACTTTATGATCTCCCTCAATCCTTTCTGGACTTATTCAAAAGCCTCTTAAGTGATCCCATTGCCTCTGGACTCTCTCTCCTGTAGTCCATTCTTTATGTTGCTATCAGTCTTGTTCTCTAAAAGACCAGTCTTGTCAGGCCAGAGGCCAGTGGCTGCCTGGCGTCTCAGGATCAGGTTGAAAGTTCTTAACAAATAATTCCTAGCCCTTCATTGAATCACTACCACCTTTATCTCCAGCCTCTTCAGGAATTTGTAAACTTAGATTCCTACAGGGCTAAGGTAGATAGATAAGTGAAGTAGGCTGGGAGAGAGTGGGAAGGACAACGGGAAAATGGAGAGCCCATTCCCCACCTTAAGGCAACTGCTGCTTTTTAGCTCTAATTCTTGCCATGCTGAAAAGTAGGTCCAAAAGGGACAGATCTGATTTTTCAAAAGAAGTTAAAAATCTGGATTTTCTATGTGAATTCTCCTAATTTTAAAATGTTAAATGTATTTTCTTTTAAACTAATAAATGAAAAGACAATGAGCAGACTAAATAAAGCATAGCAATCAGATGAAGCCCACGGGCCACCAGTGTGCAATCTGCCCCCTGCCTCCATCTATTCTAATCCAGGGTTCAGTCAATGTTTTCGTGTAAATGGCTAGATGGTAAATATTTTAGGCTTTATGGGCCATAGGGTTTTGATGGCAATTACTTGACACTAGTTGTAGTGCAAAAGCAGCCATATGCACTAGGTCAATAAATGGGCATGGCTGGTGTTCCAATAAAACTTTATTTATAAAAACAGAATGGATTAGGCTGACTATAGTTTGCTGACTCTTGCCTAATCAAAGTAAGATATCTGATACTTCTCTAGAGACTCCACGTGATGATAGATTCTATCCCTTTACCCAAAATGGCATTTCCTCCTTTATTCACCTGGCTCATTCCCTAGGCATCCATCATCAAGACTGAATGCAAAACACCTGTCTTGGAAAACATGCCTGACTCTTTCTAAAGCCCAGCTGTGTTAGGTGCCCTCTTGGCTCCCATTTCATCCTGAGCATTCTTCTTATCACACTGTGCTTTCTCTTTTGTTTTATTTCTTGGTTTCTCTGACTGGAGCATGATCATCTCTCAGGCAGGCACTTATCTAGTATCTAATTTATTGAGCAAAAATGAGCAATTGATAAAAGATACACGTAAAATTTAGACATCTAATTTAACAATGTCAAACAAGGAGATCTCTTCTTTATCCATATTTATGAGAGGTTTCTAAGGTGTCACTAAACATCCTTGGGAGAAGCCAGGAGGAGTTGTTAGCCTCCTAGGCCAGGATTTAGGGAAAGTGAGGTCTGTGCTGGGCTCTGCCAATGACCAGCACTTGGCTGAATCAACTCTGTCACTTTCTAGACCTCGATTATTTATTTCCATAAGTCAGCTCGGCATCATGATCCCTAAGCGTCCCTTCTATTCCCAAAATTCTCTGGGAAATTTTCTCGACATTTTAAGCAGCATAGACTGTATATAGGTTAACCCTTTTTAATGCCATAATCCAGTGATAACCTCAAAGATTATTGAGGACATATGGAACTATTTGCCTCTTCATTCACTGTCCCCAAGTCATTTGTTTTGAGGAGTTTTCTGGGGGTGTTTTTGGTGTTTGGGGATGTTTTTAAAAAGCTTTCTCCTCCTTCAATTTCAGTCATAAATTTTTGTACTTCTAGTAGTCTCCCAACTCTTTCTAATTCACTGTTTCTAATGTTTTACATTATAAAATCAGGTAACCAACCTTCTCTAAACTTCTTAGAATTGTGCAGATGGTAAAAGTGAATGAAAGCAGAATATTGTACTGTAAAGAATATGAAATTTAGGCCCAGGGCAGTGGCTCATGCCTATAATCCCAGCACTTTGGGAGGCCGAGGCGGGCGGATCACAAGGTCAGGAGGTCGAGACCATCCTGGCTAAGATAGTGAAACCCTGTCTCTACGAAAAATACCAAAAAAAATTAGCTGGGCGTGGTGGTGGGCGCCTGTAGTCCCAACTACTTGGGAGGCTGAGGCAGGAGAATGGCATGAACCCAGGAGGCAGAGCTTGCAGTGAGCCGAGATTGTGCCACTGCACTCCAGGCTGGGCAACAGAGCGAGACTCTGTCACAAAAAAAAAAAAAAGAAATTTAAAGTTATAAATTTCAGATGAAGACTCAATTTTTCCTTTTGTTATTTACACTGTGCAGCCTTGGAGAAGGTGCCTAATCTCCCTGAGCACCTATTTTCCTCATCTATAAAATGAGGATAATCATATATACCTCCTGCAGTTGTTTTGAAAGTCAGTGATGATAAATTTGTTTATAATACTTAATAACAAAACGCATCAAATGATACTTGCTACATTTATTTTGCTATTATTATTGACTCTGAGTTATTGTCACATTCAGGCCTCTTGAGTGGTTCTAGTTAACCAGGTTGCAGGGGGATGCTTTTCCTCTTCCATCCAATTCCAGTGATGAGTCTTAGACACAGTCTGATGTTCAAGCAGTTTGTTTCGCCAGCGCTCTTACAAGACAGAGAGGAGGAGCAAGTGGCATAAGGGCATGGGCAAGATACCGTCTGGGCCAAATGATTACTGCCTGATGGAGAGGGTCTCCATCTGTGGACCATTCTTAGAGTTTGGAAGATTTCTGTTCTTATACCTGTATTCAATCTCGGTCAGTTACCAGGTGATTCATTCATAAAGTGAGTTTGAACTATTCTTGGAAGGATAGGCTTTGTTGTAAGGCTCATGAAACTTGCATTGAGCCAATAATAATGTTTCATCTGCTTTCTTAACCATAGGCGTGGTGGTGACTGTCAGTGCCTGTGGTGTGGCCAGTGCACTTGGGATTATCATTCTAAATTCACAGGCCTCTGGGTCTGCTAGGTTTAGTAACGAGACTCTGAGGCAAGTTGGCTGACTTGTATATGTTGTTCATGGGCTGCTGCCAGCAGCACCAAGCAGGCATCACTGTGGGTAGCACACCCCTGGAGAAGCCATGCTGTCTCCCTGTCCCACCCCCAGTGTCCATGAGGGCCTATACCAAGAACCCCGTTTCTTCTTATTTGCAAGAGGACCAGTGCATTCTGAAGGACTCTGAAGAACTCTGAACATGACAGTTATCACCTGTCATAATTTCAATACATGGACTTAAGCTTTCATAACCTTTTCTTAAATTTCAAATTTCTGGGCTCATGGCTATCTTTTGAAAAGCTTAGTCAGATAATATCTCAGAAAACACCGAGTACTCCACCTGATACATAAAAGGTTACCATAAATGTGGAATCTGAATTGTTCATTCGATTCCCCATCATGGGAGTGGAAAGTTTCTGATTTCCTAACTGTGGTTTATATCTGTCTCACACTAATAGAGAGATAAAAAACCTTATATCATCTTGGATCCCTATTGAATACCATGAGAGTAAAGACATGATCCAATTATAGCACATTCAGAGGGCAATTTCTCCTCTTTTTATTAGGCAGTCAGTAAGATGTACTCTATTGTCTGTTGGAGAACTATGAATTAAAGTGCCTGGAATCTGAAGAGAGCTCTGTACAGCCTATTTTCCCCCAAGCCGGACATATCCTTGAATATGCTTTGTGGCTCAGTATGAAAGAGAGGCAGAAATGGTTGCAAGCCTGATCAAATCAAGGCACTGATCAAAGGACTAAATATACAGCTTGCCAAATGATGCATAGCAAGGGTGAGAGGGAGAAAAAGGATCAAAAATTGATACAGGCATAGCAAAAATGAGTACACAACCTGTGTAGAGAGCTAACCAGAAACAGGAACATGAAATTGAGCCTAGGAAATGCTAGAAATACCTGTCTTAACCCTCAGAGATGGTACCCTTATTGCCTGCCTTGGTGAAGTCTCCCAGAGGAAACTAAGGAAGGACTAAGTTTCATTCAGATGATGTGTTTCTGCTGTGGAGCTGAGGGACAACTAAAAGCACAGCAGAGGTAACATAAAGAATCTGTAGGAAAGAAATTATAACATTTGAATAGAAGAGAGATACACTATGTTGTTGGATAGGAAAGTTCAATATTAAAAGTGCTAATTTTCCCAAAATTAATTTTAAAATGTAATTCAATTCCCATAAGAATAATAGAGCTATTTTTTTCTAGAATGGACAACATTATTTTAATTTCATATGAAAGAATAAATGAGTTACAATAAGGTCTAAAGCAATTTAGCAGTAGAAAGAATAATGGAATAAAAAATTATAATTATTGCAATGTGGTATGAGGATAGGAATGGAGAGGTCAAATGAATAGAATAGGACATTCAGAAAAAAAAAAAGAGAGGCATGTCTGTGGACACTTTTGCACATGTACTCCGTGTTTAAAAGTGGCATTATAATTCAGTGAGAAGAGAGGAAAGAGATGAAGTTGAGCCATTTAGCTGTCCAATTATAAAAAAACAAAAGAAAGTTATAATTCTACCATCAGACCTTACATGAAAACAAATTCCAGATTATTTTTAAAATGTAAGAAATACCAGACTTACTACTAGTTAATACTACCTGGTAAGCACTTAACATACCTTTCTGGAAGATTTTGTGGTCATAAAACTGGATTGCAAAATTTGAGAAGTTTCAACATATTCTGGAGATTCTGGTTGCCAGAGCTTTAAACATATAAAAGTCACAGACTGTTTCACAACAGTCTTAATTTTCTTTTCAGTAAGCTAACATCTATAGTTGCTAAAAAATTAAACCACTTGCTATAGATATTTGAAATTCCTTTTTCACATTTTTGTTTAATTCTAAGATGCTTTTTGAAAAGAAAGAAAGGGAGAAAAACAGAGCACACCTCAGACCTCTTTGAGTTAAAGATTAATCATGCAATTTAAACCATAGCCCAGCATAAAGATGGAAAGGTAATTGATCATATTAAAAGCAGTTTGCCATAGAAAAATGTTTTGTATCTTTCCAGTACTTCCTGGAGTCAAAGAATCAAACTGAGAAGAAAATACAAGCAGTATGTTATTGGGAGGCTATTACAATCAGCACAGCTGTTTCCAAATTGTTTGTCACATATTTCAGCCCCTGCTGTGGCCTTTTTTTAATATATATCTTTCTACATTAGGGGAAAAAATCCATATCAGTCCAATTTAGTGTTCTTAAAGTGCTTCAGGTTTATAAGATGCTTCTTTAAGCAAGTTGCTATTGAGATAATTCTTTTTGTTTATGTGTAATATTCAAGTTGAAATCACAGTATTCACCTCTATCTGGCAGGCTGGAACATTCTGGTGAGAGATGTCACAAAATTTGCCCTTAGGGATGTATGAAAATGTAGCTTGGTGTGAATTCAACTGGGAATTCCCATACCTGTCATTTCAAATCGGCTCAGACTAGTTGCAGGTATTTTGGTCTGTTTTGCTATAAATAAAGGGATACTATGAAATGAAAATACACATAGTTCTGTTGGAGAAACTTGAAATCACTTCAGAGAAGCAATTACTTACCTCTGCTTTCGATCAGGCATCCATGTTGGTGGTCTGGCATCCGAATACCCAGACGCCTCTTGGAAACATGTTGGAGCACAGGGGTACCACCCTGAAGATCAATGTGAGCTCAAGTCACACCAGCTCTTATTCACTTAGGGTTATCCCACAAGTGAGAGAGAGACTGTCTGAGGACACTAGGATTGCATGGAGTTTGGTTCTTCCTCCCAGACAATATTCCGTTTAAATGGGTTGCACTCATGAAAGTTCATGTTGGTTCAGGGTTTGAGACTTTGAAAGAAAAAGGTTGAAAATGCAAAGTTTAACTGCTATGCTGCTGTAGTGACATCTATTTCTCTTCAAACTTGACACTGACAATGGCAATCACTGTCTGTGCAGGTGAATAGGGTCAACGCCTCTCTGTAGAGACCCACCCTCTATAGGGGCAAGCTAAGAGGCTATCTTGGCTAAGTCTAGTACTCACTATCCATTCTTTAAGATGTTTCTGACATTGATGACTGACCCAAGGCTTTAACTTCAAAGTTTCCTAGGCCAGGCATGGTGGCTTATGTCTGTAATCCCAACACTTTGGCTTGAGACATTTGAACCCAGGAATTTGAGACTAGCCTGGGCAACATAGTGAGACCCTATCTCTAAATATTTTTTTTCTTAATTAGCCAGGTATGGTGGTGTGTTCCTGTAGTCCTAGCTATTCAGGAGGCTGAGACAAGAAGATTACTTAGACCCAGGAGGTCGGGACTGGAGTGAGCCATGATCGGATCACTGCACTCCAACTTGAGTGACAGAGTGAGACCCTGTCTCAAAAATAAGGGGGTTCTTTCCTTTAATCTCCAGTTACTTTGTATAACATTATTATACTTGATTTCTTGACCTTCCATCCAAGATCCACTCTGAGTCTACCTATTATTTTTATTCAGGCTCCCAGGCTGTAATTAAGACATATTTTATTGTCTTCTAGTTTTCAGTGCTGTTTTCAGAAATCTACTGCTGTATGATTTTTATCACTGCATTTGTGATTTATCTTTTGTCTCTCAAGAAATCATTTAGACTCTTATCTTTATTTTATATTGAAATATCACAATAATGTGTCTGGTATAATGCTCGTTTCTACTCATCATGTTTCATGTTTGGGCCCTTCAATTTAGAAATTCATATCTTGTAATGTGGAAAATTTTCTCATGCCATTCCTTTGATAATTTCATCTTTTCTCTCTTCTCTTTCTTATGGAACCTATTTAGTAAAAATATTGGACCAACTGATGTGATCTCATCTTTTCTCTTCTGCTTTTCAATTCTTTATATCACTCACTCAAACATCTTTTTATCTATATTCTATCAATATAAATATTTTGTGGAAGATTTCCCCAACTTTATGTTCCAATTTTGAAATTTTCATTTCAATCCTTGTATTTTTATTTCTAAAAGCTTTTTTGTTTTTCTGAAATTTTTTTCTAGCCTTCTATGCCCTTACATGAATGCAATATCTTCTCTTGCCTCTGAAAATATTGATAATAGTTTTTGGAAGTTTTTTTTGGCACCTTAAATTGTGTTTGCTTTCTGCAATTTTTTTTTCGGTCCTTTTGATTCTGTTTTTCCTCACTTCTGTAGAAAGCCCAGACTGAGTAACCGTATTTAAGAGGGAGGTGAAAAAGAAAGAGGGACTGGAGCAGGGGCAAGTTCTAAGCTCATCAACTGGTGAGCCTCACTGTAGGATAACTAAGAAATCTGGCCTTTATTTGAAGGCACCTCTAAATCTCATTATCTGTGAACCAGTCTATTTCTCCAGATAATTTCTCTCATAGGAGGTTTAAGTTGAATGCCAACATTCTGGGAGCCCTGTGTGGAAAGGGGTCTGGGGTTCTCACAGTTCGTTCTATGGATTTCACTTCACCAACCTGTAGTCAGGGCTGCATCCCACTCCTGCTCCCTCCATGCCTGTTGTCCTTAGTCCAGAACCTTTTTGGTTTAGTTTTCAAGAGAGGAAAGCCTCCAAGGTGGGGTTTGCGATAATGGCTGGCTGCTCAGAGAAACAGATTGGATATTTTAAACTTGATGAAATGATGCTAAAGTTCACCTGGAAAAATAAGCATTCAAGAATAGAAATGTGGGCTGAGCATAGTGGCCCATGCCTGTAATCCCAGCACTTTGAGAGGCGAAGGCAAGAAGATTGCTTGAGCCCAGGAGTTCAAGACCAGCCTGGGCAACATGGCGAAACCCCTTCTCTACTGCAAATTAAAAAATTAACTGGGTGTGGTGGCATGCTTGTAGTCCCAGCTAATGGGGAGCCTGAGGTGGGAGGATTGCTTGAGCCTGGGAGATCAAGGCTGCAGTGAGCCATGATTGCCTCACTGCACTCCAGGCTGGGTGACAGAGAGAGACCTTTTCTCAAATAAATAAAAAAAAAATAAATAAAGGAAAACTCCGAAAGTTCTAAGTAATGCTAAGGAGTGAACTCTATCAGATATGAAAATATATTATGAAGCTCAGCCATCAAACTTTGGTGCTTGCGAAGGAAGGGGCTGGCAGATTTATGAAAGAATAGAGTCATAAGAAAAATCTAAACAAATACCTATGGGAATTTTGAATATAATCAAATAGCTTTTCATATCTGTAGGGAAAAGATGAGTTATTCAAAAATATTCATTGTAACATTATTTATAAAACAAAAAATTAAAAGCAACCTAAATGTCCATCAGTACAGAACTGGTTTAATAAATGCATTAACTGCATATAACATTTATAAATGTTGAAGAGAGGTAGATGCATCTATGTGAGCCGATGTGGAAAGATATCTAATATATAAATTAAGTTAAAAACCAACTTACTGAATAATATGTTTAGTATTATCTCTTATTTCTAAAAAATAGAAAGGGTGTAACTTTGCTAATCTATGTATAAAATCTCTAGAACTGTAAGGAATAGTAACAGTATTTAGGTCTGGAAGTGGGACTTGGGTGTCAGAGAGGGAGGAAAAGTCTTCCACTTTTCACTTTATACTCTCTCAGTTCTCTGAATTAAAAAAAGAAATTCCCCTTGAGAAGGTATATCTTTGATTGATAAAATTTTATTTAAAATCAATAGCTACAACATTCCTAGCTTGCTGCCCAAATACTAGATTGTGTAAACAATTTTTAAATGTAATTGAAAAAGTATTGATTCTAGGCTATCCTATTCTATAGAAAATTCACCCATGAGCTGGGATTTCTTCAAGCTTGTCGTTATTCCATATCTTTGTCTTCACCAACTCCAAGTGCCAATCACCATGTTTTTTTGCTTGCATCTTGCTTGCATTCTTTAGATGCAGTCATCTAATGTTTTTGGAACACTGTGTCCAGAACTGTTATTTGCTTACCCTGACACAACATGAAAGCTTCCCAGGAATCTGTTCTCTTAGGTCATTTGCTAGGGTTGCAGTGGATCTATACATAGCACAGTCTGATGGAGAATAGACTCATCTTCAACCCTGCTTTCACTCACTGGAGTGAGAAAAATGGATCAGATAAGGGAATTACAGAGCACCACCCACAACGAACCGTGTCGCATCATAGACAGCTAAGGAGTTTACGTAATTTCAAATTTATTTTATTCTAGATAAAAGTTTTAAAATAATTCAGCTATATACAGAAAAAAACTAGCACTCATCACTCAGATTCTTTTTCAGCATTGATATTACTTTAGAACTCTTTTTAAAAGAATAAAATATAGCAACAGCCATAGTCCTGTTCCTCCCTATTCTTTCCCTTCCCCTAACACCCTTCTCTGCACAGGTAACCACATCTTAACCTCAATGTGGGTCCTTCCTGACCAGTTTTTCATATGCGTTATGTCTGTCTGTACCCATAAGCAATATATAACAGATTTCTATATTTTTAAAATTTTACATAAATGGTATTATACTGTACTTATATGTTTCAATTACATTGCATTTAGCTACCAGTACCAGAAAAAAAGTCCTTCCACAGGATATTAAAGAACTAAGAATATTGTTTGTCTGCATAACAAGAAGTCTAGGGAAAGCCCACCGTGGTGGTCCTTGGCCCGCTGATGTCATCTATCCATCCTGCTTCACTATCCTGGTGTGTGACTCTTCACCTGTTGCTTGCAAGTTAGCAAACTAAACCTCAGAAGTTCACATTCCAGGGAGGACAAAGAGGGAAGACCAACAGCCAAAAGCCTTGCTCTTGTTAAGTTTTATCTTTCTTTTTGGGAAGGGGAAAACACCCACAGATGTTCACTGCATATTATTTGCTAGAACTGATGTACCCCTTGCTGCAAGAAAGGGCAAGTTGCTGATTCTTTTAACTTTTCAGCACCCTCAGTAGAGAATATCACCAGAAAAATAAAAAAGGAGGCTATTGATGACTTTTAGGTAGCCAGTCAAGAGTCTGCTCTGTTATCCTTTTACAACTTGCTTTTGCTATTCTTCACCATTATGTCTTTTACAATTTATCCATATTGGTAATTCTAGACACAATTCATTCATGTTAACTGTTGTTTAATATTTCATTATATATTACACTTTATTTGCGCATTTTCTATTACTAGACCTTTGAGGTGTTGTCATTTTTTCAGTATTCCAAAAATGCCATGTGAATATCCTTCTGTATATGAATATACCTCTTTGTACTCCTGTGAAAATTATACATATATAAGTTAAAAATATTTGTGCTATAAAACATAACACATTTAAAACACATATAAATCACATGCCAAACATTTATATATATTAAATATACATCTGTTATATATGTATATATAAATATATCTCATACCTTATTTTGTGTTTTCAATGTAAATGCTTTTTCTAGGGTTCTTGTTTTCCTCTTTCCTGATTTTGTTTGGATTGATTATTGAATTCTCTATGTCCCTTTTGTTGTTGTTGTTCTATTACTATGGAGTGACTCTTTCTAGTTTCTTCCATTATTTTAGTCATTATCCTTAAATTTTAGCCTACATAATTAACATAGAATACATAATTAACAAGCTCTGAAATAAACAAATATTCCTAGCATCATCCTGGACACTATGTATAAATTAAAATGCTTTAATGATTTTCATCCCTTCCGTTATTTATGCTATCAATTTGCTAGTGTTTTAGTTCTACCTTATTTTTAACCATTCAGTAATCATTATTATTTTACAATTAGTGGTTACTTTGGCTTCTCTACATGTTTAACAGTTTGTTTGCTTAACAATGCTTCATGCACCTACTCTTTCCTCTGTGTTCAGTTTTATTCTTTCTGAAGTTTTTCCTTTAGTGATTCTCTTACTAAAAGCATATGATTAGTAAATTATCTCGGTAGTAGTAATTTAGCAGTAATTATTATTCTTTTGCTTAAAAATCTATTTTGTCCTCACTTTTGAAATATAGTTTATCTGGATATAGAATTCAAAATTAACAAATATTTTCCCTCAGAACTTTGTTGATATTAGGTAATTATATTTTATATTTTTTTGTATTTATTTTGTTTTTGATATTGATTTAAAATATGCTCTGTAATTGTTATTCTATTTTTTAGCTAATCTGTCTTTTCTCTCTGGTTGATATTTTACTTTCTATGTATTGTATTTTGTACAGTTTTACTACAGCAAATCTGAGTGTTTATTTTACTTATTCCACTCAGAATTTGATATGTTTCTTCAGTTCTACAAAAAAAATTTCTTAGAATAGTTCCTCTCTCACCTACCTTCTTTCTTCTGCAACAGATATATGTTGGACTATTTTTTAATTTATTCTGCATGCCCATTAACATTCTTTTACATTTTACCTTTCTATCTTTTTGTTTTTTAACCTGTGTTCTGGATGATTCCCTCAGATCCTGTTCTAATTCTCGGTTGAGCTGTGCCAACTGAGTTTTCAATTTTATTGCCTATGGTTTACACTCTAGATTTTAATTCTTCCTTTTTCAAATTGTCTAGAGTCCTATTCTTTCATTGTATTTTATATTTAATTTAATGATATTTTTAATTATTTAAATGCAGTTGTTTTAGAAAATCTTTCAGGCTGTTCTGTTTCTATCTTTTTACACTACTAGCTCTTCTTTTTAATGTTTTTAAATTATCTGCCTTCCCTTCATAGTGGTTTTATATACATATATATATATATATATATATATAGAGAGAGAGAGAGAGAGAGAGAGAGAGAGAGAGAGATTCACTCTTTCGCCCAGTCTGAAGTGAAGTGGCACCACCTCAGCTCACTGCAACCTCCATCTCGTTCCCCCAGGTTCCAGCAATTCTCCTGCCTCAGCCTCCTGAGTAGCTGGGGTTATAGGCGCCTGCCACCATGCCTGGCTAATTTTTGTATTTTTAGTAGAGAAGGGGTTTTGCCATGTTGGCCAGGCTGGTATCGAACTCCTGACCTCAGGTGGTCCACCCACCTCAGCCTCCCAACGTGCTGTGCTAGGATTACAGACCTGAGCCACCGTGCCCAGCCTATGTATATCTTTTAAATATTTTTGTGAGACAATGTTAGAATGAAATGAGAAGGATATTAATTTATATGATTCTTCAGGTCAGTTAAAGCAGCACCCACACATCTTTTGTGAGGGTTTTCTTTATAAATAGCATGGAGCAGAGCTTATCGTTCTCACTGTGGGTTTTCCCTTTGTTTCTTACCTCTGGGGATTTGAGTTCAGCTATGTGTTTAAAACATTGTTATAATTTATATACACAAATGCAGGAGAGATTTCTCTATCAGCTTATTTGTACTTGTATCTGGAACCATCTTTTAATGGCTTTCTGAGGTTGCATAACTTGCTTAACACGGTTCTATACACCTGTCAGCACTGAGTGATGTCATAAGGTCACCGAAAACAAATTTGAGGCCTTAAAAGTGGTTTCTGTACAATTCCTTCAATATATGCCAGAGATAATATCTGCTAATATGATTGTCTAAAGCTTAAGTTACAAATGTGTGGTCCACAGGCCAGATCTCATCTGCAGATGTACTTTGTTTAGTCCACACACAGCTTAAATCTTTTATATGCGATGCCAACATTTAAAAATTGGCAAATTTTACACAATGGTTTAGACTTTCAGTTTCTCTTAAACAAACAAGCAAAAATAACCAGAAAGTTCATGTTCCAACACTGCAGCCCTGTGCCAGTGTGTGGGAATAGCTGCTGGCTTGGTGTGTTGGGGTTCCCATCATTCTCCTGGGTTCCACAGACAGGTTGTTCCTTTCCATCACAGGTGTGGCCTTGCAGGCACCTGAGTTGGCAACTTCTGTTCTAAAGATTAGAACAAGTTATAGTGTACCATCAAAGAAGTCACCATTAGAATCCTACCAAATGTGTAAAGGGCTGATGAATCTGGTTAGCTGCTGAATGTTTGAGCACTCAGGCACTTCTTTAATACACTGAGATCAGGATGTTGGCCCTGCTCTTTTGATGCGCTCCAAAGGAAGTATATTTGTTATTTGGGGCAACAATCTAAAGTCCTGTAAAGAAAATATAGAGACCACTTGTAGTAAATATGAACATAATGCGCTCCATGTGGTTTAGACAAGCAGAAAAGGGGCTTTCACTTCTGCTTCATGTTGGTGCATTTGTCCCTTTGTGACGCTTAATGGTTCCTGCAGAAGCAGAGCCTCCAGAATTCAGTCTCTAACTTGTTTCAACCGGAGGGGCCCTCATTGAAAACTTGCCAGAATCTGTGGGCAATGAATAAGAATTGGACATGTTTCCAGTTCTAAAGTATTGCTTCTTTCTTGTTTTGCAAGAATTCAACAATATCACAGCTGAGTGGGAGTACTGTAAACTGTTATTAAATGGCTTTATTATTCTCTGGTAGGTTAGCTATTTATAATTTAGCCAGTACCTAATGTGGAAAAAGTAGCTTTTACTGTATTGCAATCTCTTCCATGTAAACTGTGTTCTCACATACTCGGAGGCATATTAATTGTGTTTGATTTGCACTTTATATACTTCCACCTTCACTCCACCCCACTTCAGTCATACTAAACTTCTTCACCACATCCTAGACAACTATTATTTTCTCTGAGCCTTAATGCCAGCCTCTCCTTCTTCATCAGGCCCAGTTCTGGTTGCCATCCCAACTCAGGAGTCATCTTCTCTCACTAGCACTCCCAGCTTGCTACATTTACTCTATGAAGACTGTGTCTGTCACCTAGTTTTATGCTTGGTTCTCCACATAGCTCTTCATCACTAGGTTTTGAGCTCCATAAGAGAAAACCTTACTTCTTGTCTTATTCATCTATGTGTTTCCAGAGCTTCGCACCCTGCTTGGCATGTAACAGGGAATCAACAAATTCACAGTACCTTGAATTAATTACTTCCATAAAGAACTTGAGTGGGCTTACAGGGCTAAGGAATATTTATTTCAAAAAGGATAACTAAAAGTAAAAAACTGTATCACTTTCTTAAAAAAAATGTGTATCTGGCACAAAATAGACCTTAATTTAGAACTAAATTTTATTCAGAGCATCCTGGCAACAGAGTGAAAAGGAAAGCACGTCAGTTTTTATGATTCTGCAGGTCAGTTAAAGAAAATACTCAAGTCATCAACAATGTGTTTTTTTCTGTTATCGAATTCTGTGAGAAATAAAGCATGAAGTGACGTCATAGACAATGTTCTTGATTATAGTCTTACAAAAGACACAGAAGAATTCTTCAAATGCACCTTCTAAAAGTCACCCCTCTGTAAAAGCAAAAAGTAAAACAGTGACCCCTAACTGAATAAAGCCACTGCTAAAATACTCACGTCAGGTTGTTTCTGGTGATCTGCTATGAAACAAAGGTAGAGCCTAAGTAACGGTTGTCCATTTCTGTGTAACAAATTACATCACAACTTTGCTGCCTAATATAGCAAACATTTATGATCTCACAGTTTCTAAAGATCTCTTTAGGCTGACTGGTTCTAGTTATGGTCTCTCATGAGGTTGCAGACAAGCTGTTGGCCAGGATTATAGCCTCTGAAGACTTGACCAGGACCAAAGGATCCACTTCCAAGCTTGCTCATATGGCTGTTGAGTGAGAACTTCAGTTTCTTGCCACAGACTTCTCTACAGGGCTGCACAAGAGTTTGCTTTCCCCAGAGAGAATAATTCAAGAGAAATATTGTGAGAGAATGAAAGAGCAACAAAATGGATTCAATCTAATCTCAGAACTGACATACTGTCACTTCCAGCCAATTCTGTTGGTCACACAGACCACCCTAGTGCAATGTGAGAGAGGAATGTAGAGGGCGTGAATACCAAGTGTCAGGGATCATTGAGGGCCATCTTGAAGGCTGCCTACCACAGTAACCTGGAAGCATGCTTGGATCTCACATACTTTAGATGGTCCTTCTAGAATCTCAGATGTGAGCACTTTTAAGTATTGGATGAAGACCATTCAGAGATGACTTCTATGGGTGAAAGTCAATATTTATGTTATTGATCAGTGAGAAATGTATATAATTCCAATCCCAGGAGACAAATGTACCTGGACCAAATGGTATGAAAAGGTGCAGGCCTAGTTTGCATATTTCTTTCCCATCTCTACATTGATAAAGTCAACAGTTTCCTTAAAACCTGAATGTGTTCAAGAATTTAAGAGCTTGAGGCTGCAGATTTCTGTGCATAGACTATGGAAGAGGAAATCTTGGCTTTAAAGCGCCATTATGCTCACATGTGGTCATCAGCATTCTTATCCACAAATCTTGGAAATGCCATTTCAAATGCTATATTTTTAGGAGGGCTGCATCTTAAATGGCCCTCAGGGACAGAGTTGAAACTGAATGAAGGGAATCGTTTTCCAAGGTTAAAGGGGTTTCTTTGGGGAAGTCAAGTGCTATCATTATCCCTATTGTACGGGTAGCTTCAGCAACTTACCCAATAATACAGAGCTAAGCATCAGATACCATATTCAACCAGGAAAAACAGAGTTAACCTCTATAATTTTAGACTATAGAATTGCCCCATTTGTGTCTATATTTCCTAGTCTTTTAAAAGAAATTATTAAAACATTTAAAATAAATGAAATATTTATTAAAGTACAATAACTATTATTAAACAGTTAAATTAAGATATTTAAGCATTAAAAATGTCTAGAGGGTAAAAGAATTGTTAAAATTAACTAAGTCCTTGTAAAGGCAGCTAGTGAATGTTTCGAGCAATTGACCTGTTCCAGCTGGCCTTCCTCACTGGAGAGAACATCTTAAGAGGTGGACGTTCACCCAGATCTCACGTTGAGATCTTGAAATGTGTTGACCTAGTTCTTGGGCCTGAGCCAGAACCTTAGCTGATGTCAGGAGCATGCACAGGAAGGAGGCTCTTTGCTCCAGACTGGGCTACGTGCTGCTGGTCCCATAGTGAACAAGCCCTGGACATGCCAAAACAATGTGGTCAAACAGCCCTGCTCGCCTCTAACTCTTGGCTGATTTGAGACAATAAATGACACAACACCAAAGTTAATTTCTTACATGATAATATTAAGGACAAATAAAACCTGTAGGAACAATTAGTTTTTAAAACTTGGAGAAAGACATTGGCTAAGAATTTAAACAAAAAAGGACATGGGAATACTGCTGTATATAGGCTGGAAAGGCAACAAAGTAGAATTTCTCCAGGAACTGCAGAGCAAGTCTGAGCCAGGGGAGTGTGAGTGCAGTGATGATGGCAGCAAGGGGTACTGCAGGAACAGTGAGGGTAGAGGGGGGATGTTGGAACAGTGGGGGGCATGGCACAATGCCATGTAGCAAAGTGAGAGTGTCTCGAGACCAGTGAAGGTGTTTCCTCCAGAAAAGCCTATAGAAGGGGCAGTGATCATGCAAAGTCATGTTCACATTTCATCTGATGTAGCCACTTATCAAATTACCTTCCAATAGATTCTTTATAGTAAACTTAATTTGAAAGCAATGATTTATTTGAAATCTGCAGCGCTGAGTTGGCACCAGAGGTGGGAGGGTTAAATACATGAATTTGGAAAGTGGTTTAATACCAGATTTTGAAACTGCACATAGAAGCACAAATGTTAAAAACAATCTGTGGAGGTGGTGTGTGATACAGTGAAAGAGCAGAGGTTCTGCAGAATAGAAACGCTGGCTCCCCCATTGACTGTTGAAATGGATTTCGCCAAGTCATTCAACTTGACTGAATTTCAATTCCAAATTCTACAAAATGAAGCTTACCACAAAATTTATTTCATGGGAATATGAAGAAATGCAGATGAGATATTGTTGAAGTCCCTTTGTAATTCTAAATTCTGAATTATTTTAAATTTGGGGGTGGGGAGGGTTACAAATGATTTCCCATCTCAAAAGACTGATTGTTAATTTGTATATTTATTGCCTATCTCCCTGAGTCCTTCCATGTCATATTCACTTGCATATCTCCAGCACCTACAATAGGGCCAGGCTGTCAGGAGGTACTCAGTAAATATTCATTGAATGAATAAACATGAATCTCAATAGAAACATTAATATCAGAATTACATCAAAGACAAGACATTTTGAAAAATAACCCCCCACTGTCATTATTGAGACTGTTTCTCCCCTCAACTTCCCATGTCTAAGAGAAATGAAATGTGTGCTTACACAAATACACTTGCAACATTTCCGCTTACATCCCCATTCACCACTTTGTTATGCTCAGTTGAAATAAATCACACAGAACTTCCTCCCTGCATTATTCTTCTGATCTCCAGCAAGCCCTGCCAGGAGTGAGAGAGGCAGCCCAGTGGGTCTCCTCTCACTTAGCCTTGGGCACAGTGAAAAAGAGGATTTGAAGTAGTTGAAAACATTTGTGGAGAAAATGTTTTCAGCCTTATGGTTAATTTAACAGTCTATATCTCCTATATTTCATTATTTTAGCTCCTCATGATAGCTATGAAATAATTTCCTAATTCTTTCCTTAGCCATGGTTGCTGACCAACATAGACATTTTCATGCTGATCAACCTCTCTGATTTATTGCGTTTTGGGAGGGTGATCTCAATTCTATGTAGGGAATAAGAATGTCACCAATCTCTGCAGATCATTGATATTTAGAAATAGTAGAGTTATTAGCTTTAAAGCTCAACTTACCCATGTGTTAATATTAAAATCTGATAAATTAATGAGTTCTACTTGTTGTATTTTTCACACACTTATAGAATTCTTGTCCATCCAGGGGAATTTCTTTCAGTTCTTGCTTCTCTTTAAGATAGCAAAACATCCTTTCTTATGGCTGTATAGTATTCCATGGTGTATATGTGCCACATTTTCTTTATCTAATCTATCGTTGATGGGAAACCATCATTCTCAATAAACTAACACAGGAACGGAAAACCAAACACCGCATGTTCTCACTCATAGGTGGGAGTTGAACAAAGAGAACACATGGATACAGGGAGGGGAACATCACACACCGGGGCCTGTTGAGGGGTTGGAGGCTAGGGGAGGAATAGCATTTGGAGAAATACCTAATGTAGATGATGGGTTGATGGGTGCAGCAAACCACCATGTCACATGTATGCCTATGTAACAAACCTGCACATTCTGCACATATATCCCAGAACTTAAAGTATAATTATAAAAAAAATTTTTTAATTAAAAAAAAAAGGTAGCAAAACATCTGGAAGCAGTACCGGGCTGGTAGGTAAAACGCCAGAGAACAATAATCGGGACAGTGACTGTTTAGTTGCTTTATGTTGGACAAGTGCATTCTCCAGAATTTTTTGTTTTGATTTGGTTTCTGGGATTTTTCTTAAATGGAAAGAGGCATTGATATCTTACTTCGATGATAAGACAGATGAAATATTCTGAGACCCTTTGATTTCTTACAGGTCTTGAGGGACGCATAAGATTTTTGTTTGTTGTAATTATTTGAAGTTCATTACATATTTTGTTTATGTATGACATTTTAATATTTAAGGATGCCTTGAAGGAATTTGGATTCCTTATTGCTCATAAAGCTTGTCGGTGGTCAGCCAGTAGCGCCATTTGCATCTCAATAGTGCAAAGGAGAGAAATGATATTTTGCAGGATCTTGGAGAGTATCCCTGGCAAGGTAGAATCAAACACAGGCAATTGTTGTGCTCATAAAGCCCCACGGCTTCTGTGGATTATGTGTAGGTCACATCTCAACTACAATTAATAGCAACCACCACCACTAAGATTGCTGACTACTCAGATGTTAAGCACAGCCGTATTTCTTTGCAAACAGAGGCTCTCCTTATAGAAGAAAAGAACTACTTATGCTTTCCAGGAAAAGTCCTTTTATTATTAGATTCCTGAGCATTTGGCGTTTTATACTGTTTATAATTCAATGCTCTTAGTAACAACAAAATAGCTGTAACTGATTGGCAAAATATAAAGAAATTCAGAAACATAATTATGTTTTTTACGAGTTAAATAGTTATATGAGATGGAGGACTATGGACAGGAAATATAATTTCTTTTAAAATCCTTTCCCCATGAGGCACACGGTAGGCTTTCTTCACCTAACTATTCTTCTGCCACAGTCCCATCTGGTGCACTGCACCTATGTGACAGAAGAAATAGCTCTCCAGGTCAGTGAGGGGGTAACTCATTTGAATCTTGTTTAGAATGAGGGATTGAGGCGACCTGTGGGTTCTACTTACATAATTTTCAGCATCTGGCTTGGCTAGCAAATCAATGGCCTCAAAACAAAAATAGAAACAAACAAAAGATTCCTGTTCCCTGAGAAAGATAATACCATTGTTCAGGAAATGGTGAGCTTGACAGGTATCTTTTTGTCCTTATTGGTGCCTACCAGACCACACACAGAGAAAACCAAACTCCCTCCATATTAAAGGACAAGGGCAGCAGCAGGCAGCACGCTTCCTCTAACTGGAAAGTGGAGAATGATTTTAAAAACTTGTGTTGACTTGCTTGCTTGCAGCATTTTAATAACATGTAGGTAGGAGGCCACGGGACTTCAGAAAAACAAGTACTGAGCCCCATCAGCAGTGCTTGTTCTTGTAATGTTCCGGGGTAGCATGTGCGGATTTGGAGGAAGACGGTGTCTTTTTCAAAGGAGGCTATTGGAGGAAGTTATAATCACAGTGTAAATAGTGATTCACTGGTACAAAGAATCTGCCTGAGAAAACTGGGTAGAAATTGAACGCTCACTAGCGCCACTAATTTACCCTCCATTAGTGTCCTGAGCTTCAAGTGAAAGCAGGAGGCTCCTCTCAAGGCACAGCTACAGCCCCATCCTTTGGCTCTACCTGGACTTTTAGACACATCTCCTTAATTCTGGAAAAAGACAGGAGTGCCATTACATCTGGGCTTATTTCGTGATGCTTCATGGAAACAGCTGCGTTGCCTGTCTTTGTATGGATACAGTTTTTAAAAATGAAAATCGCCATGGCAACAGCTGCAGCTACTTATTACAGAGCAGTGGAAATGACGCTGGTATCGGTAGGGAAAGCTATGCTCTCAGAATAATGTGTCCCTTATACTGGATTTTACCCACTAACATTTTCATTTAAAAAAAAAAAGATAAAAGTTGAGAATGTGTTCAAAAGCAATTTACCAGGGACTGGAGAGCTCAGGGAATTGGTAAGTGGGTACAGAACCTTTTGTCTGCAGGCCCCGAATTGAGCTGTTGACAACAGCTCTCGATACTGCGATTCTAGGGAAGGCAGCGCCCACTGCTTATGTTTAACCCCACAGTGCCGAATATGCCACTCTACACAGAGTTGCATAATGGCGTTGACAGTGATGATTAGAATGTTAATTGAAGCCAGTTTTCTGCACCTTTTAGCGCCATACCTTCCTTACAGCTTTGATAAATCTCTACATTTGAGACTATAGGAACCACTTGGCTCCTGCCTGCCAGTAAGTGTAAAATAGTTTAAAAGTAAGCTTTAATTTCCTCTTAACTCTATTCTGAGATTAACAACATCTTTCATGGCTGTCAGATCCTGGGGTCCAGGTCCACACCATGCTGAAGTCCGAGGGGAGTGGGTGGATGAGCAGAAAGAACCCTCGGGGGGCCACAGGCGGGTGAATATGGTTTTATTCAGCAGCAGCTCTCATCAACAGCTTTCTTAAACTACCTCTCTCCTGAGCAGCTTTTCTTACGCTGTCCGCTCTGTCTCAGCTGCTTGAATTGGCCACCCCCACGCAAGGTTGCGAGGCCAGTTCTCCCTTGCCTTCAGGGTCAACAGCTTAACTTTCTCTCTTTGAGCACAAACAAGCCTGAGCTGTGTTTTGGCCCCCTCCTGTCTGTCTGCAAGAAGGACAGCTTTGGCTCTCTCTTTCTCTGGACGCCAGCGTGCCCACCATGTCAAGCCGTGTTGAGCCGAGCCGAGCCCCCCAAGAGCTAAGCCCCGTGCACAGAGTCAGCAGGACAGTTATACCTTTTACAGACAATAGTGGCTCCAAGCCAAGCATGAACTTACACGAACAGGCTATATAATAAGTGGAGGTGTGTGCCTGCGCACCAAACTTGCTGACTCATACTCGCCTGGATATCCGCCTCGGCCTTTTCCTTAACCAAAGCACATCCATGTATCTTACAATGGCTCATGCTATATGTTCTGGCACTTTCTTTTTACTGAACATGAAGAAGGTAAGTGAAGAGGAACATAGAAGAAAAAAAAAGATTTACCGTGACATATGTTTAAGACCTCATACAAGGTCTGGGTGTGTGGTGGCTCATACCTGTAATCCCAGCACTTTGGGAGACCAAGGCAGGAGGACTGCTTGAGCCGAGGGGTTCAAGACCAGCCTGGGCAACAAAGTGAGACCTCAATCTCTACAAAAAATAAAACTTAGCTAGGTGTGGTGATGCACACCTATGATCCCAACTACATGGGAGGATGAGGCAGGAGGATTACTTGAGCCCAGGAGGTCGAGGCTATAGTTAGCCATATTCATGCCACTGTACTCCAGCTTGGGTGACACAGCAAGATCCTGTCTTTAAAAAAAAGAAAAAGAAAAAGACTTCATACATTGTAGGGAGAAACCCTGCATTTTGAGTTTTTAATGAGTTTTTAAAATATTCTGTAAGCATGATGTCACATCATTTTAATGATCCCATAGACCATATCCTTGATAAAAACAGCCAGACAATTCGACAGGATCTATCTATGAGGAAACCGAAAAATGATATCAATATTAACTTATGGAAATAATAAAACTTCAAAAAGGCTACAGATAAAAAAGCCTTGAGTATAGCAAGAACATCCATCAAAACCAAAATCCTTCACTCACTTCCAAAGAACTCTGATACCTGATGAAATGACCCAGGTGTGTGTATCTCTCTGTGTATGAGTGTGTGTGTGTTTGTGCACGCACACATACACACACACACGTTGAGAAGAGATTAGGATTTATATTATCTGCTTTATCTCTCACAAATTTCAAATCTCTTTTAAAAAGTTATTCCAAAATTTTTTTCTTTAGCTATGGGCCCTAAAGCTTTAGAGTATGTATTTACCACCAAATTTTCATGTGATCCAGGCTTTACTAAACTATGTCGTACCCTGGTTTGTTTCCCTCTCATCACTCAGACGACATAGAGAAGCCCACGGAGAAAGTTTTTGCCCTAGGCTATAGGAAACATATTGCAAAAACCCTCCATCTCATCCTGGTCCAGAAAAATGACTGAAACATAAAAACATTCCCCCCTCAAAGCCCAGCCACTAGGGATTATTTTAATTTTTTTTACTAAGACAAAGCAGCATATTAGAATCTATTGTACAACAAGGAGTAGGTCCCATCTCCCTCCTTTCTGCTGCCAAACCTGTTCCTCATTTAAACTAACCAAGCAACTGTACACCCAACAGTGCCAGATCGGGGATTAAACACCACTTGAAGGAGTCTTCCCAGAGAAATCTTCATTGCTGTTTTATTGCCCACGTTTATTCCCATATATCCTTTGTCCTGCCAATCATGGCTAATTTTTCAGTCAGTACAAGCTTCTGCCAGTCTTGTAGTTTCTGTCCAGTGCTCTCTCTTGCTCTCACTTCCTCATTTCTATACTTCACCTACATCACCCTAATCAGTTTTTTCATAGCATTGTATCTGATCTTAATTGAGAGACTCAAGAGGAATACAACTCTAACAATCTTGTTTTCACTAAATTAAGCAAGATTGAAGGATGTATTGGTTTAAATCCTGATTCAGGAAAGAGAATGTTGAAAGTAATGCAGCAATAAAGAAGGGAGATACCATTCTCTTCATAAGAAGTCAAAGCATTTCCCTGGATAAGGTAGCCTCAGCAGATGCTTGATAAGGATTGTTGGTAGAAAATGGATCATCACCATCTGAAGTGAAATACATCTTAGTATAATTAATTTTTCATTTAAAAAGATACTCAATTTTGCTGAACTCTGAAGCCAAAAGAAATATGATTTTGTGGGAGGATCTCCCCAACAGCTCAGCAAAGAGGGCCAAATCCACTAGCTCCACTCAGAGCCTCTGCTGATGAGCTTAAGTCACAAGAAACCACTGCCCCATATCCTTGTGTCTTTTGAAACAGAAATCATGCATTCAAAAAGAAGTCTTCCAGGTTCCATTTCTTAGTGACATCCTGTCTAGATGTACTCCAGTCTGCTTTGGTGGTATAGGTTTTCATCATTTTGTCCCCAAAGGAATCTCCATTTGGCAATACATTCTGTTCTGATAGAAAAATAATGTTTTAATTATCTGTACAATTTAGTAGCAGCCAAGGACAGATATACTACTTCCTCCCAGATAACAAGCCAAACATTCCACCTTTCAAACATAAACATTTTGTTGTGCATAGGGGAAAGTCTGGAGGGAAGCGAATCCTTTTCCATTTCTGTTTCAAAGGCTCTTCTTTCTCAGAATAGCCCTTGGGGCCACATTTTTTTTTTCTGGTTTAATATTAAATAAAGAGCCAAGAAAATGTGCAGATACAAGTTAAACTAGATACTTTAGAGACCTTACCAGTGGGGACTACATAGGACCCAAGATAGGAACTTACCGTTTGGGACCACCACATACAACAAACCTTTCGTTGATGCACAAACTTCCCAACATACAGTTCTCTGGGTGGGAGCATCAAAATGCAGAAGAGCTTGGAACCAGATCAACCAGGATTCTAATGTCAGTCCTACCACTTGCTCACCACGTGACTTTGGCCACCTGGTTAACACTCCTCAATTTCCTCTAGTGATATGTAAATAATATTATCTCTGCTATGAGGTTATTGTGAGGATTACAAATAATGTAAATAAGATACATATCACAGTTCTGGCTTGCAAGAGGCCCTCAATAAACGGCAGCTATTAACATTGCAATGTAGAAAGCACAAAGTCCAAGAGAATTTCAACATCGAACATTTTGCTGAAATAGATATATATGCTTTCCAAATTCAGTATTTAAGACTCTAAAATTAAGCTGGGATTGCACATGGTGATCACTCAGTTTACTAACAAATTACCTTTTTATATCTTGCTAGCGTACTGTATTATGGTTTGCAAAGCCAGAAATTTTTTTTTTCTCTCTCCTCATTTTGGGAACTTACCAATTAAGCTCTTTTTTTAAAATCCAGAATTTTAAGGGCTGAACATTTTAATGTAAATAATTTAACAGAACCAATACCCTCCTTCCCCTCCATTGCCACCAACACAGACTGGCTGGTGGCATAGCCAAGGATTGTCAGGCAAATCCAAGGCAGAGGATGGCAGGGGTACTTTTCTGGTTCTCTGAGACTCCATTTTATTATAGTCCCCACATTCTGGCATTAGGTTTGTGGGGTTTATCATACTTTTCCCATGGTTGAGGTTGCCTGGGTCTTCACCATCACATTTCACATGAAGTCAAGGTGCTATAATCTCTAATTATGCATCAACATCCTTTTAATGACATTCATTAGCATTAAGTGATAAGGTAGGCTTTTCATGAATAAAAACAAGGATTTTGCTATTTCTCACTATAAATTTTACAGCCCCTCTCCCTCTTTCTCTTTTCCTTTCACACATGCACAGTAGATCTGAAAGGTGCCACAGTCCTTTATTTTATTTATGTAAATGACACTCTCCTCTCCTATCACTGGATCACCTCTGTTTCTATTTGCATGTTTCCTAACAATGGCCCTAAAGTATTTTTTAATTGGATTTTCCAAGAAGGTGATAATAGGTTTGAATAAAAGTTTAATGAATACACTTAATCCAGAGGAGACACTGGGATATAATTATTAAATTCTACCTTTTGTATATACCCTTGGTTCCACCTGGGGAGTATAGTACAACAGTACCCACTAGCTGGTAGCTTATCCATCAGATGGTGAGAATGGTAATACAAAAGAAAACCTGATCAATAAAAACTACAGAGAGAGAAAATGAGAGATTTGCTATAAAAGGAGTAGAGGGAAAGCATCAAAAAGCAGTCCTCACTCTCTGCCACCTGTGCTCCCAGGAGGAGCCCTACCTTTGGACACCTTGTACCAACTCCTCCTTCTGGCCCGTACCTTACCTACGTCCTTTCTTCTTTATGAACCGTATGCACAGTTCTCTAGTTTTAACCCATCTTAGACAAAGGCATATGCATTCCAAATTTTTTTTTAATTCTCTCCTTTTAACCCATCTTAGACAAAGGAATATGCATTCCAAGTTTTTTTTTAATTACTATTACCAAGGTGTTACTTATTTCATAAATTTTCCCTCAAGGAACACTTCTCCCCCATGTTCCAGGGAGCATAGGCCTGTTTCTCCTGTTTGCTTTAATGACATGTATATGCAGACAGTGGATCTTTTGAAGATCTAGCCATGGGTAAACTTAACCAAGGCCTGGGAGCTGCAGTGTTTCACACATTCTGGTTGACCTGGAGAGAGCTGAGCCCTGGTGATGGTGGCAGGGATGGTGAGTCCGGGCCAGATGACCTTTGATGTATTGAATCAATACAGTTAACATCATTTACATCATGAATAGAAAGTAGAGCAGATCCAGGCCATAAATTAATGTATGCTTCATGGTGTTACCCACTACACTTCCCAACTCTGTCAGTCACTCCCATGTAAACACAACTCTCAAAACCTCACTTTTCTATCTACATATACTTAGGCATCAGGAACAGCCAGTCTTTCTGATCTATCATTAATTTAATTGTGTTCTCACATATGTTGTCTGCTAGCCTGGAGCAGCCACGTTTGATCCCAGCCATGCTGGAAGAGTGCAAAAGTCATGGTCCAGGGCACAGGTTTTCTTCCATTATCAAGGCACTTTTTTTGTTGTTGTTGTTGAGACAGGGTCTTGCTCTGTCACCCAGGCTAGAGTGCAGTGACCAGTCTTGGCTCACTGCAGCCTTGAACATCTGGGCTTAAGTGATCCTCCCACTTCCACCCTGCAAAGTGCTGGGATTACAGGCGTGAGCCACTGCGCCCAGCCACCAAGGTCCTCTTGTTTCATGTGCCTTGCACTGATTATTCAATTCTTCCTCTTGTCTCACTTTCTGCCAGTTACCATTTGCCTCAGCTTTTGAACACTCCCTCCTTGTTCTACTGTCAGTATTTGCAGATCACTACTTCAGTGGTTTTTAACCTTTTGGGGGGTCATGGACCACATAGAGAAGGTGATGAAAGTTTTAAGGAATCTTCTTCCAGAAAATTGCATGTATGCATTTACAAATGTTCAGTTTACACTCATCCCCAGGCTTCCAGAATATTGATTTCCTGAGTCCCTTGCTTGTTGTTCACATGCTACTGATAGCTTGTTTACCTGCTTCTAACTTGAAGTGTCCACTGACCTCCCTCCTTCCCAATGCCTATGTAGTCTTCCAGTCTACATGTTCCCCAAGCCTCTGACCTATTGTCCAACTCGATATGTAAAAACCATCCTCTTGGTACTTCAAGGCTGCTCCAGCATGCAGGGCCCTAGTTCCTGGCACCAAGCAATATATTGTGCTCCTCCATGGCATGGCTATGGCCTTGACAGATGAACTGTTCATCCTTATATCTAGCCTCTGACTCTGTGTTAGTAACTACCTTTATTGCATGGACAAGACAGGTCTATTAATTGCTTGAGTTAGTAATACATCAGTTCTTACAAGCTGTATTGGCTTGAGATTCAAATATATGTTAAAGTCCATATTCTTATTCCAGATAAAGCCATGTCCTGAAGAGCTAATACCAGAGAGGACTCCTCTATAGAATATACACTTCATGGCAACGCCTAGAAACATATAAGTTAAGAATATTACATAGAAGCAAAACTTCCTTTGATAAGATTTGCTGGCCTGCAGTTCCCATGCTTCACACATGACACTGAAATCTGTGGGAATGAGGCAACTACCTTTGTGAAATACATTAGTTTAAGAAGATAACTATGTGCTTTCCTTCCAAAGATAACTTGAACCGAAGTGAAATTATCTGCAACTCTAAGAAGATGGATACAGATTCTTAATTAAATTGAGCTGTGATGGGGGCCCAGATGCTCACTTAATTGCTAATAAATGGGAGATCAGGGAAGGGTCTGGGGGAATGAGTCTATCAGTGCAAATATTTTCCAGGAGTTGGCTTGTCACTAGGTGAAACTCCCTCAGGCCGTCTCAGGCAGCTGTTTATAATGGGAGTGGGGTTTATCTAATGTGAGAATGAAAGGCACCCAGATTAAGAAGGCAGCCCATTGTCTATGAAGACTCCTTTGACCCAGAGAGGAAACTAGCATTTTATTCAGCCACTCATCACAGTCCTCAGCACACAGCATTTATGAAACGCTGCAGGCTCCAATCTAAGCAAGTGCCCTATGCTGATTCTTCTTTATCTCTATGTAGCATGTGGTGAGCTGTGAATTGGTGATCTTGCCATGAAAGCAAACTCCGTTGTTTTCATGGTTTTTTTTCCTTGACTGTTGCTAATCAGCAAGTCTACACAACTTTATTAAACACCCTCTGTTCACAAACACATTTTCCTTCAGGTGTAGCCACAGGATTTCTGTGGTATATCTACCTCGGTGTACCCTTCCCTGAAAGGCTGCTAAAAGTTCAGCTTTGTTAGATTTGCAAAACCATGGATCGTCCATGCTTAGTGATTGTTAACAATTTACATGCATCCCCTTGTTTGATACTATCCCAGTAGCCTTCTGCTCTATAGGACTTATTAAGAAAAAGATGAATTCAATATTTGATCAAACTCTAAGCCTATTGTTCATTCTACCCCAAAAGATTCTTATAATGTTCTAATACACTAGTTGGAATTCCCAAATGCCTTTATATTATTAGAAGTAGAGCTTAGTTTTTATTTAGTTTCTTTTGAGCAAATGGTGAAAGATATAGCTAATGCAAATAGCAATAATAACAGCTAATATTTTTGGAGTGCTTTCCATGTTGTAGGTAACATTTTAAGCACTATACACATATTAACATATTTAATCCCCACTCTATGAAGGAAACACAATTGTTATCACCATTTTCCAGATGAAGATGCTGAGACAGATAAGTAGTTACTCTAAAGAGACAGTAGTCACCACTTGGAAAAACAGGACAAACTGCGTAGGATGGCAAACCTAAGTTGGTGTTGGTATGAATGCCAGGAGATATGGGATATAGTTTCATATTAAAACCCATTCAATATAGAGGAGAGGTCTCCATTAAGAAATCTTGGCCTGTAAGTAGCCCTAGGTTGTCAGCAAAACTCCTCATATTGAAATAGATATTTTAACTAATGTAATTTTTTTTCTTGCAAATTAATACTAGAAATCCTGAAATTTTCAACTTCCAAGAGTGGACTTTGCCTCAGTCTATGAAGTTGGGGTGTATGTTCGAGTTATTTCTCTGTGAGCACATTCCGGTGGTAGAGCCAGGCATTTCCACTCCCCAGTCACAGGCTTTCCCTTGGTGAGATCTGAATCTAATGATGCTCCATTTACCTGCAAGTTACCTTGGGCAAGTGATTTAATCTCCCTGAGTCTATTTATCTCTGAACTGAGAACAATACAGTCATGCATGTCTTAAAAACAGGGATATATTCTAAGAAATGCTTTGTTAGGCTATTTTATCATCATGCAGACATTATGGAGTGTACTTACACAAGTCTTCTAGATGGTATAACCTACTACACAGCTAGGTTATATGGTATAACCTATATCTTCTAGGCTACAAACCTGTACAGTATGTTATTATACTAATATTGTAGGCAGTTATAACCCAATGGTAAGTATTTCTGTATCTAAACGTAGAGAAGAGACATTAAAAAAATACCGTATTGTAATCTTACCGGACCACTGTTGTATATGCAGTCTGTTGTGGATTGAAATGTCATTATGCAGTGCATGGTTGTACTTTTTTTGTTAGATAATTGGAAGGATTAAATGAGGTGAAATTTTAAAAGTTACTTAATCTATCTAAGCCATAATTTCCTTATCTATAATGGAAATAATAGTAGCACCTTCTTTGGGGTTTACTTTGAGGGTTAAAGAAGATAATGCTTATAAAAATGCTTAACATAGTGCTTGACACATAGTGAATGCTTCATAGAAATGAATACAGGGAATCGTATTTTGAGGGCTCAGTAAACATTGGAGAATTTGACCTCCTTCTCTATTTTCAACCGTGGGGATTAATATTTGGTCTTGCTTGCACCTGTTTATGATTATATTTTAACTTTAGCTGGATTTCCATCTTTGGTGGCTATTAACCTACTTTTCCATACCTTTTTATATCTATTATGACTAAAATTTCGCATATGACAGCATTCTTTGGAGCTAAGATTTCATTAATGAGGATTAAAGAAATTGAAAAGTTGGAGAAAGGATAGAAATTCCCATTAGGCCATGAGAATTATTCTCTCTTTCTTAAATGAATAGGCCCACAGTAGTGGGATTCAAATTCCTATTTCTGCTTTAAAGAGAAATACAAAGAAAGAAAAAGAAATAAGAAGTGAATTTGCAAGTTGCTTTTATCTTTAGGACTATCTCAAATTCACTTTCCTCTCAATATTAGGTATAAGAGAATATTTCTCAAAGCCCACAGACTAATTCAATTCTGACAACATGTTTCAAGCTAAATTGGAAAGTAATTTAAGATCTCTTTTCAAAGAAAATGCACATATAATTCATAACAAACCTCCTTTAACTCTTCTTCCCTTTTAACCAATTTTAAACTCAGAGGCCTCTTTGTCACCTTAAAAGTTGGAACTTAATGGACCAGAGCCACTTAGGAATCTGTCAAAGGCTTTCTTCTGTGCTGAAATTTGTAACTGTTCTTGATGTCATCATCAACCTGGCTCCAACCTAAATCATCTGCATCCTCTATTGAAGTACTGCTCCTTACTGGCTGCGTGCTCAGACATTTCCAATGTCAGGATTTGGGTTAGCACAGGAAAGCCAAGTACCTTACTACCTTTCCTGGCAGGCCTGGAGGAAATTGGAAAATAGATAGCAAGTCAATGACCCTCAGGGTGGGAGGACCCTTGAGGCCACATTATAACTCTCTAGGGCATGAATTTCCTCCACAGCACCCTGGCAAGTAACTCTTTTATTCTATGTTTAAAGCATCTCCAACTACAGAGAATTCACTACCCTTTTATAGTACCCATCCCATTTTCCATCAGATCTAAGAATTAGAAAATTTTGAAATATAATATAAAGCTGGGAATCTGTCTTCCTATGATACGTTACTTTTGGACTATATCTTGTCTTCTGGAAATACAAAGAATGAGTCCAGTCCTTCCTCTGCACAACCACCTTTCAAATGCTCACTGCAGCTGTTTCTGCTAAATTAATCTATACTTTGAACTCCCATACTTCTCTCAATCTTTTTCTTCACTACTCTACTTTATTTCCTGTGGTCTGCTGTTATTTGTCAGGTCTCGTTTAGGTGGTGGCATCCAGGCTGATGAGGACAGGCTTGGCTGCTGCAGCCTTTGAAGAGTGTCATGGGATCATGTTGTCTCCCACCCACCTTCCTCCACTGTAACTAACATAGACTTCACCTGGAATATTCCATCACACCCCTGTCCTCTACCCCAACCCTCCAGTGCCTGCTCTTTCACCCTAGAAGAAAATCCTAACAATGTCCCGAAAGGCTCTATAAGACATGGCCCTGGCCCGGCTCCAGCCTGACTCCAGCCTGACTCCCACCACTGTCCTCCCCACCATTTCCCTCCAGCCATGCTGGCCTCCTTGTGGCTTCTCAGACCCACTGAACAAGCTTTGCTTCGGTGCCTAGAAAGCTCTCCCTTTATTTCATTCAGGACTCCACTTAATAATCTTTGTCAGAGAAGCCTTCCCTGACCATCCCAATCCTCTCTGTCCCATCCTCTCTTGCTGTTTTATTTTTCTTTTCAATCCTTGTCATTGAATTACACATTTATTTGCTTAGCTATTTATTATGTTTTCTTCTCCACTGAGATGTAAGGAACATGAGGTCAGGAGCTGTGTTTTGTTCCCTGCAGTACCTTCAGTGCTAAGAACAATGTCTGTACTTAGTAGATGTTCAATAAATATTTGTGGATGGAATGAATCAATTAATTCAGCCTGAGATTGCGTTATTCCCGAGGAAGCCATGATACACTAGCTTATCCTTCCCACGGAATTCCTCTTGTATTTTTCTCTTGTGCCTGACATCAAAATGACAAGATGATATTCATCAAGGATTTGGAAAATCACTCTCTGGTATACATTTGGATTCTTAAGGAGCAGTCATTAAATGGTCCCTCAGAAGCAGAAAGAGTTAATTGATGTTTCCCCTCAAACACAGCTCTTGACTCTGCAGGGTCTTTGGCTCTTGGGAAGGTAAAACCCTATGGTTCTTACTCAAGCTCAGTGAACTTTGGCCAGGACCTCTTATTATTAAGAAGCAGCTCTTCTAACCTCCCAGGGTGCCTGGAATGCCCCCAATTTCTGAAGTCATTATGTTTTACAGTAGGTTCTCTTGACAGAGCTTCATTGGCCTTTGGCAGAACATAAGCCAGAATAATGGGCAGGGAGATGCCAGAACGAATTCCGATGTGTACACACAATTCTTGGCCCCATAAAAATCAATTCCTTATTCATAATTAAGCAACTTATCTGAGAAAGGGCAGGTTGGTACAGTTATTAAAAGATAAATAATAGATAAGGATCCACTTCTTTTTTTTAAGGCATAAAGAATTTTAAACACAAAATAGCACTGTAATTGTTTTTCATCTACTTGCTTCCTACCTGTGACACCCAGGCCCAAAAAAACAGAGCAGGTTTTACACATTTTCGTTGCCCCTTTATGTTGTGTTGGTCCTTAAAATGTGTCTTTAAAAGCAGAATGACAAGGCAGCTGTAGATGTGGAGAAAAGAAACTAGAAGCACTCCCACATAAATGTCACATGATGATCTTGTGGATCTTTTCCTGTTTACCAGATTGGGGTTAGGAACCATGGCTGAAAACAGAAGTTGCTAAATGGTTTCATACTAAAAAGAGCAGCAAGTCTCCCCAGCAGTTAGGATGCTCACCCCTCAGCTGGCTTAACTGGCATCAGAAGCAGCCTCATTTCCCCCGCCCCCACCCCATCCCCTTTGCCTCACATCTGTGTATGACGGGGTGGGGAAGGAAAGGGGTTATCCCTGGGGAGAGTGCAGTGTTTGAGGTGTAAACTGTTATACTGTTATCCCTTCCCATGAAAGTTCTTCCTCTTCCCTAAGCCAAGGGGAAGGGGAGTCTACTGGAATCACCTGGAAAGGCTGGTGCCACCTGCAAGGACAGAGGCTGCGAGCTCATCCCACAGTGTAGAACCTGCAGTGGAGCCAAAGCCCTCTCAAAGCAGAGCAAGGGAAGGGAGTTATTGGACATGGCCCTCAGAGTGTGGGCTCACACAAAACACAGAGACCAGCACCTCTTCTGGCCTAAAGATTTCTGAAAGCAGGAGTCAGCATGAGCAGAACCTGAAGGCTCTTGGGTTTGATGTGCCTTGAGAGTATGTGGGGTAAGCCCACCCAGCCCAGTGTTCTATGGCCCATGGAAGGTACTCAGGGGAACCCCAGATTAAGGAGATTGGCGATGTTAGCCCAAAATATCTGTGACAGGTCTCAGTCAATTTAGAAAGTCTACTTTGACCAGGTTAAGGACACAACCGTGACACAATCTCAGGAAGTCCTAATGACATGTGCCCACAGTGGTCAGGGTATAGCTTGCTCTTACACATTTTAGGGAGACATGAGTGTATAGTATGTGTAAGATGTACATTGGTTCAGTCCTGTAAAGAGGGAGAGCTGGAAGTGGGGCTTCCAAGTTAGAGGTAGGTAAGAGACAAAAGGTTGCATTCTTTTGAGTCCTTGATCAGCCTTCCACTGAATATACAATTTAGTCTGGCTCAGTGAAATCTGTATTTTTACATAAACTATAGGGCAGAAACAATCAGATATGCATTTGTCTCAGGTGAGGCTCAGAGGGATGACTTTGAGTTCTGTCTGTCCTTTGTCCACAAGGAATTTCCTTTCACCTCCTGAGGGGTGACAGGCACTGAGCTGCCCAAGTGGCTACTGACCCAACCCAAGGAAATAGGCTGGAAGTGTATAGACCTGGAAGATCTTGTGGCAGCTGTGAAGGGATTCTCAGCAAAATGGAGGTGCCATCATGCCAACAGAGGTCTCTAAGACAGGGACAAAGCAGCAAAAAGACTGAGACCAGGCCGGGACCCTACACACCGCTGACAAGCAGTTACGCCCATAAAGAGGAGAGCTGGGCTCCCCAGCCCTCCTCCAGGCTTCCATCACCAGCAGACACTGGCACCAGGTGTGAGGAGGAGGAGCATGCTGCCTTCCCTCCTTTCCAGTCATCCTGCTGCTGCTCTAGAATATTCTACAGGGACAACAGGAATCCACCTTTGAAGATTTAGGTTTTAAGTTGGGCTGCGCTAAGTTTTAATAACTGAAAGGAACTCAGTAATGGGATTTGACCAAGATATCATTAATGGAACTACTTACCCAGCACAAAGGGGGATTTGATATAGTACAGCTGGAAGCAGTGATTGGAAAAAAGATCCATTTCATATTTATGTATGTTCCAACTAATCAAGAACTTTTCAATGAACTGGTGCCAATAATTTTTTTGTTAGGGATTACATATTTGGCAGAGAAAATGGAAGGTTCTTTTGTATATCTTTGGCTACAGTAATCATTTTCTCATTTTTTCTGTAATGACTAAATTAATAGAAATCCTGCAAGAGATACAATATGTTCACTTCATATGTTCTTTTCATAAGCTTTCAAGCGACATTGATTTCATGTTAACAAAGGGAGTGAGGCTGGACTGAGGCTGGAGAAGCGGGCTGTTCTAATTGGCATGGGCACCCAGGAGGGTGAGTAGGCTGTGGGATTTGAGAGGACCGGTCAGGGAGAGCATCCTGTGGAACCAGGGCCGCCAGGAGCTTGAGGTGGCTGGGTAGTTTCTGTGGGTAACTGTGCGGCAAAGTGTCTCAGCAGCCCCAGTAAAGAATAACAGGGGAAGGTGGTGTTGGAAACTAGGAGACCTTGAGGAAGAGTGTCGTGATCAGGAGAGAGATGACTCCGTAAGGCCACAGTGGAAGGGCAGCCAGAGCCACAGAGGGGAGGGCATTGTTGTGGTGCCATCTATATAATATTTTTCATACCTATTATTTTATGTTCACTATCAGCAGCATTTCACTCACAACATCTCTTCTTCCTCCTCTTTTTCTTCCTTCTTCTCCCCCTCCTCCTTCTTCTTCATTACTAGCATTTATTGAGCACTTTACTATGTGCCACACACCATTCTGCACAAAACAAATTCATATGATCAGATGATCCCTGCCACCCAAAGATGGTAGGCCTGGGACAGTCAGAGTGGGAGAGACAGGTGGTAAAATCTTAGTTCTGTTTGGATAGAAGTTTTGATTGAACATTTGTTTGAAATGCTTCTTTTAGAACTAAATGAAGCACTCAGAGAGAGAGGTGATTTATTTAAGAAATGCTTATCTAGTTCTTACTGGGTGAGACACACCATTTCAAATGCTTTATAAACATTAATCCATTTAATTCTCATAGCAACCCAGTGTGGTTGGTACTATTATTGTCATCATCATTTTATAGAAACTGAGATAAAAGTGGTTTCAATAACTTGCTCAAGTTCACATAGGCAGTAAGTGGCAGTAAGCTGAGACTTACACCCAGAACTCAGATTCAGATTCTATGCTCTTAACACTGCCTAAGCTATCAGACCCATTCCTTGCAGGAGCATCATATAGAAGAAAAGATGAGTTGTAGAGAAACACTGAAGTCTCAATAATGTCTGTGAAAGTGAAATGATACAGTAAGCAAAATGATCCTTATTCATGTTGCTTTCATCAAAGAATTTAGGATACTTCATACATTTCAAAATTTTTGAATAAAAGATGCTGCACACATTTATTTTTGAGTATAGGTCCAATACACTGTCATCAAACTAATTTTGCTGAATAATCTATTGTTGAACAGAATGAATCAATATCCTGGACTTATTTCCAATTTATTTATTTTTAAATTTTAATTTATATATATTTTTATTTATTTATTTTGAGACAAGGTCTTGCTCTGTCACCCAGGCTAGGGTGCAGTGGCCCAATCACAGCTCACTACAGCCTCAACCTTCCCTGCTCAAGCAACCGTCCCACCTCAGCCTCCTGAGTAGCCGGGACTACAGGCAAGTACCATCACACCCAGCTAATTTCTGTACTTTTTTTAGAGATGGGGTTTTGCCATGTTGCCTGGGCTGGTCTCACACTCCTGTACTCAAGCAATCAAAATCCACCCACCTCGGCCTCCCAAAATGCTGGGATTACAGGAGCGAGCCACCCTGCCCAGCCTGGCTTCTGCTTCTTTTGCCTCATTTCTTACTAGAAGCCAGAGGACTTTGCTTATAGAACATCCTCCACTAAACTTGAAGAGATGCAACTCAAGCTGAGTCTCCTGACCTATTCTTGTCCATGGAGCAGACCCCTGCCCACACAGCTGAGGGCACTCCTTCCCTCCTTGATCCACTGAGCCAAGAGCTGCATGAAATACATGAGAACATTTTAGCCCCACTCCTATGGCCATTTCTCTGCGGTACCTGCCTGGTACTTTCCTTCCTGGACACCCTGTTGTTCTTATGCAAAAGTGACTAGTTCAGCCCCAGCAACCTCAGAGCTTGGTGTGCCCTGAGGGCAGTCACACCCCATTTGCCCACAGTGGTAACTGACCACCCTGTTGTTATTGTGAGACTTGTGGAAGTTCTCAGCAGAATGATGATGATGACGGTGAGGATAAATAACATTCACTGAGTATTTGAGTGTACATATAAGTACTCAAGGAACGACTTAATCCACAAGATATATCTAAGAGTTTTAAATGTATCTCATATCCTCACAACATTTCTAGGGGATAAATACTATTATTATCTCCATTTTACAGATGAGGTAAATGATTCTGAATATGCAGTAACTTGCCCAAGGCCATATAGCCAATAAGTATCAGATCTTGGGCTCAAATTAAGAGGCACAGGTGTCAGTTTCAAGATTAGATTGATACCCATAAAAGTACCCACAATATGACTGTGCATAGTCAATGTCTGCTAAAAAATCTTGTGGGTGGTGATTTGCTTCAAGAGATAACGAGCTTTTGCAAGCCTCCTTCCTTCATGCTTTTCTTTCTTTATTCCTTTCTCCTTTCCAGTTGTCCCGCACCTTCATTCCGTCAGCCTTTTTATACCCTGCCATGTGCCAAACAACAGGCTGTGTCCTGGGCATCCAAAGAGAAGCAAGACCGAGTCCAGCCTCAGAAAAGCCAGGCAGGAAAGCAGGATTTCCTGAGAAGTTCTGAGTCTCACCTGCTGGTGGGCCAGGAGAGACGGTGCTGTTGCCCTAGTCAACATACTCCGCTCTTATGCTTGTATACAGGAAGGTGCTGCCCATGTTCCATCCCGGGCATGAAAATAAATGTTCTAGTACCTGAACTCCTGTTGTCCTTATAGTTAGCATCACACTGTCACTCAACTATCCTGATGTGGGTTTATGTTTCCCCACAACATGATCGCCTTTTTAAAGGGAGAAACAAGAAATCTACATTGTGAACTTAGTAGCTGTGTGATCTTAGTTTCTCTGATTTTTAGTTTATGTCTTTTATGCAAAGAAAGAAAGAGAAAGGAAGGAAAGACAAAAGGAGGGAAAGAAGGAAGGAAGGGAGGGAGGGAAGGTAGGAAAGAAGGAAGGAAGGAAGGAGAGAGAAAGGGATAAGGAGAGAGAACAAAACATGCCTTGCTTACTTCACAGAGCTATTATAGGATCAAATAAAGCTATACTGTAGGCACAAGAGGGCTAAATATTATGTAAATGTGAGGTATTTAGTATATTCTCACCATGGAACTTAAGGTTCTGAGTAATGCTGCCTCACCCATCTTTACCCCACCACACGTGCCCACATAGGTGCAGCCATGTCTTGCAATTGCCCTGAACTCACCTGCCTCCTTGCCTTTCTTTACACTCTTTCCACTGCCTGGAATACTCTCTCCCCATCTCTGTCTGATGACATGCTACCTTGCTCAAATGCCACCTCCTTTATTCTAAAATAGTACCCCTTTTCCCCTTTGTACCGTTAAATGTTGTGTATTTCTCACAAAATCACACTTAACACTGGGACTACAGCTATTTGTCATTTACATTTTAGGCTTCCCTGCCGAGTTATGCTTTGCATATATCAGGTGTTTGATAAGATGTTTATTGGATCAAATCCTGCTTCCCTTCTCTATGCTCTTCCCTGCCTGCCTCCCACTTCCTATACCTATTAAATATGTCACTTGTCACATGGCAGGCACCTAGTGCATATGTCTGTGGAGCTTTAGGGCCAGCAAATTCAATGGACAATCTCCATAGGTCAAGGATAATTAAGCCTTTCCCTTCAGTTAAGTCAAATATCACAGGAAGGGTACAAAGTTTGGCGAACAAAGTGATCATACCCTGTTGAGTGGGAAGGAAGAGAACATTTCCCAAAGTGCAGACTACAGATCAGTGGGCACACCCAGATGATTTTAGGTGACATACAGGTGAACTTTCTTTTTCTAAATTACCTATTTTTACATATATTAAAAAGAAATATAATTAGCACATCGAACTTATGATTTCATAGATATTCTTTAATAAAATCTCCTGAATTTGAATAAAAATGATTTAAAGAAAAACGTACATAAATAATGGTACAGGGTATGGCCAAATGATGTGATGGGAGCGCTCAGAATTCCAGAAGCACCAGGCCAGGGAAACACTTCTGGAAGTTATGGAGGTGGAGAGAAGGATAAAGCCGTGCTTGTTCTATGGGTCAGATCTACTAGTGGCAACCACAGGTTAATAGAATTACTTCTAAAGCTGTGCTACTGTGCAAAAACCTTTGTCTGAAGGGCAGAATGCAAATGGAATGCTTTCTCATCACTCTTGTTTCTTCACTGGAAGGAAGAAACATGCTGGAGAATGTCAACTCAAACACATCAAGCATCACAGCCTTGGGCACCAGGTTTCCTAACAACCAGTGGAGTTTTATACCTTTTCCCAGGACTTGCAGATACAAAGGACCCAGATGTGGGTTTACTTTTCCTTTTTTCCTGCAAAGCACAACACTTTACAAAAAAGAAAAACACTTCAAAGGCAGTCCTTTTCTCGCATACATTTCAAGGCTTCATTCAAGATCCACATTCATCTTCCTTATCCAATTACAGGATCAAAGCAGAAGTGTTTGGCCTACTTTGGGGGTTTAAAGACATCCAGGAAAAAACTAAGACCATTTAAAACTACCTTTTTTGATGCCACACATCTTCCTGTAGAAGCATTGGAGTTGGTTCCCCTTGCTCTCTCTTAAGTCATCTCTGGATACCAAAAGTCAGGTCAGAGAGCTAACATGCTCTAATCATTGGCAAGATAAAAGATTCAGTTACATCTCTGTAAAATCCAATCTAATCTCAGTCAATGTGTCTAGTGTACTTTTGCTCTCCACACTGCTACTTTTGGAGTTTCTTCCAAAACCCACTGCTAAACTCTTGATTTTTCCTGATTAGTTTTTAAAATCCTGTATTAAAATAAAAAACTGCAAAAAAAAATCTGAAATGTCATTTCATTAGTCTCCCTAAAGCTAGTGGATCTAGCACATATGTTCATTTTAATGCTCAATATGGAGTTCATATTTCCTAAAATAGGACATGCCTTATCCTTCATATTCACACTCTGGGATCTGAGGCCCTGGTTTTAAAAAAAATAGCTTATATGACATCCTCAATAATATTTAAGTGAACAGACTGCCTATTGGTGGATTGATTTTTCTCTATGGAAATAAATCTGTTGGCAGCCGCCAGAATTGGGGTATAAAAGATGACCTTGGGCAGCTGTTGCCATTTGTTTTGGTGGGAAAATGAGGGTTTTGTCTCTCCATGGGGGTTAGTACTGTGATGTTCTGAGCACCATCAGTGCTCTGTTTCTGAAGGGTTACACTGGAGAGGAGGAATGCTTTGTGGTTTATGACAAGATCATGGCAGAATATTTTGTGCACACGGTGATTTGTATCACCCATTTGTGCACAGGCCATAAAAGTGCACTTTTTATCAGGAACATCTGTGAATATATAACAGCACTGAAGACATATGGCCACTAAATAATTCACAGTTATCTATCTTCTCAGCAGATTCCTTATACACCTACCATGTTTTAATGCCTAGTTTGCTCAGAAACAATATTCTTTATGACCCTTCCAATATAAAAATGTTTACTGACTGGCAGCAATATATAGATCCCATGGGATGGGGCTATAAGGAAGCAGAAAGATTTCTGCATTCTCCAACTCTCCCCTTCTGTATCTGTTTTCCCCTAACTCTTCCAACCAGCACCCAACATTACAGGGAAAGATACCTCTCCCCAAAGTGGGTGCGAAATCCTATCTGGGCTATGAGATGAAAGTCACTAACTAACCTCCACCCTCTTCTCTTTTCAGTTCTATATCCATTTACAGTCCCAAGGAGAATCCAAATGCATTTGATGCCGCAGCATTCTTCCAGTCTGTGGGGAATTTCCTGGGAATCTTCGCTGGCTCATTTGCAATGGGGTCTGCGTATGCCATCATCACAGCACTGATATCCTTTGTCTGTATGTGGAAAGCTGGGACTGTCAAGAACAGTCAGTATCCATGGAATATTTCTGATGATGGACAACCTCCAGGCCCATAAAAGGCTAGATAGTCTGGTCCAAGTTTCATACGGCACCACTGGTGCCATCTTGGTTCTCAGTCACCCCTGGAGGCATAGGTTGGTACCAGTGGCAGAGGGGCCCAAGCTCTCTTCTTGCCCAAGGTCAGTTCTAATGCTATTGACACTATCTGATCCTAGGACATCAACAGCCTTAAATAAATATCACCTAGGAAAACTAGTGAACGGGAACCATCAGGATTGGCCTTACTAGGGTCAAGAGGAAGAACTGAAGATCCAGGGTCAAGAATAAGACAATTGATTAAGGGTGATAAATTGGGTATGATCTGCCTCTTTTTCAGGCTTATTCAATCACTAGCTTACAGGGTAGCTCAAGCCAGAGGTCACTGTGGGTCTAAACAAGCATCCACAGCTACTTTATAGAAGGGAACCTGCAAGCAATGCTGAAATGATATGTGTGCCATACCTGAGCAATCATGTCATTTGATTCCTTTTTGTTGTTGTTAGGAAGTTGGGATGATAGATGGAGTTTCTAGAGAATCTGAGCCAAAGAAAGAAGCTGGTCTGGTGGGCTGCTCACTTAGAACATTCAGATAGGGCAAAAGTAAGCTGGAGTAGAGGAGGAAGGCCAGAAGGCCAATGTCAAGTATAAGGGTTAGGTGGAGCCACAGAAGAGAGGTAGAACAGAAGATCTAGGGCCAAAGACCTCAGGGGAAGGAGAAGGAAGAAGTGTGCCAGAGGGGTGAAGGCCCCAGGCAAAGAGAAGGCAAAATATTGGGGGCCTTTTTCTATGGGGTCTTGCCCAGACATTCACTGAGCAGCTGCTAAAATGCTTCATTCTACTGGGGGTATCTAAGAAGAGTCAGGAGATGTGTAAAACAAGGACCCTGCCCTCAGTGAGTGACAGGCTTAGAAAGATGAGCTCTACATTAAGACTGGGATAGAAAGTGAGTGCCAGAGCCGCATCGAAGTTATCACACTGTAAACACTCAAACTGGGACAAGGCTGTTGTGTCTGGAATAGTATAATACCCTTGGCCAACTTTATGATTCTGGAAAATAATTTGAAAAGCAGTATTTATAAGCAGAGTGGGTTTTGGGCATGGCCTGGAAGATAGAATAGGGGCAAAGGCTGAGCAGTCGGTGATTCAGGAGGCGAAGACTAGCATTCACTAAGGTATGGCAGTGGGACCAATGTGGCATCTGGAAGACATGCCTGGGAGGACCAGAGGGCTCCAGCTAGTGAGAAATGGAGGATGAGGGGACTCAGGAGGGATGGAGTCAGCTTGTGGAATATCTTGAAGTGGTATTTCAAAGAGTCTGAGCCTCTTTCTCTAGTCCACAATTAGCTGCCAAAGGTTTCTGCTCAGGAGAGTGACACACTGACAGTCCTGTTTTTAAAATATAGATGAGGAACTGGAACAAAGGATGAATCAGAGGAAGGAGACTAGAATCAAGGGAAACTGTGATGATGAACTGCGGGGGAAGCATCAGGAAGGGGACTGATATTTAAAAGGAAAAATCTCTAAGACTTAGTGATTGGCTGGCTATTGGAGATAAAGAAAAGGAGACAGTCAAAGGCTACTCCAAAGTTTCATCCTGAGAACCTTGTAAAATGGCATCTCCATTGACAGAAATAAAGTCAGTCAGAAGAGGTAGTGCTGGTTTCCAACAAGAAAAAATGACCTACCCAGTACTTATGCTATGACAGGCTGCCTACGACGTGTTTTCCATGAGTGTCTCATCTAACCTTCACAATGATCCTATCACCAGATGCTATTTTTATTGGATGTGAAGCTTAGAAAGGGTAAGCTGTTGCCCAAGGTCATGCAGCCAGCAAGTAAACCCGGAGAGTGAGAATCAAGAGGCCGAACATGCTCTCTTCACTGCTCCCTATTGCCTCTTAATTCTTAGTTGGAGCTGTGTGGAGGCCAGGTGTTGTTTAGAGTGAGTAACAGCAACAAGGATAGGAACATTTTGTGAGTGTCTAGCATGTGCCAGAGCCTTTCTATGCATCTCCTCATTTGAATCAACCCTGTAAAACAAGTTATTGTCCTCCTCACCTTACACCCGAGGAAACTGAGGCTCAAGGAGGATACGTAGCTCACTCAGGATCATATATCAGTAATAGTGAGCATGGTAATAATCACATCATCTAACATTTATTGAAAACGTTACTGTGTGCCAGCCATTGCCCTAAGTGTTTTGCATGGATCATCAGATAAGTTTTACAAGAACACTGGAAGGTAGATACTGTTACTATCCCAATTTTACAGCTAAGGAAACTGAGACAATTAAAGTTAAACAACTTGGCTAAGGCCAAACAACTAGGACATTTCAGGGCCAGGATTCAAACCCAGGCTTTTGGGCTCTGGAGGCTACGCTAAGTGGAGAAACTAAAATCAGAATTCTTCTCTACCTGATGTGAGGGGAAGGTGTAACATATGTGAACAGGTTGATAAGGGAAGAAAAAATTCCTGGAGATTGGAAGTCTGGCATAAGATTGCATCAGATCTGAAAGAAAGGGTGTAGAGACGGAAGAAACAGGCTCGGTAACAGTGGTGACATTGATCGTGCAGTATTTGGTGGTCTTCAACAGGCTCTACAGACACAGGCTATGAAGGAGATAAATGCTTACTGTTGTCCTCCTCACCTTCCTAACCACCTACCCATTTCATTCTGAGGCTGTCTCCTCGGGTTGTAGGCCCCTGAGCTCTGCAGACCCAGAGCTGAACTAGTTTCTGGAGGAGATTGAAAGAAAAGAATGTTAGATAGCTGATTGCTGTTTTGTTACTCACCTGCCCTGAACATTCTCTTTAAAACAAACTAGAAGAGGGAATTCAGGAGAACAGACCTCACTAGAAACAAAGACTTCCCTCTAAGTAACAAAAGGGAATATTGTAAAAGGATCTCAGGGCAGCCCATTCTTTACAGCAGATAAAGAATTGCTTCCAGATCCTTACTGATTCTATTTCCCAAAAAGATGTTTTACCAAAAAAAACCAAAAATTAATTTAGACCACAGTAGACAAGTTGCATATCACTTGTTACATGCCAGGCACTGTTCTGAGTACTTAACATATATTAACTAGTTTACAGACCTCTGAGGTAGGTGGTATTATTATTCTCATTTTCAGACAGGAAAACTCAGGCACACAGTGGTCAAGAGATGTGTCCAAGTGAATACTGTGAATTTTAATCCAGGTAGAATTGGCTTCCAAATGCTACACTCCCCACCATGATATTATTCTGCCTTTGTGCTTTCTAAAACTTTACAAAACATGTTTACCATACTTCAGCACATTTTACTTTCATGTAGGATCAGGTATTATTCTCATTGTCAATTCATGTAGAATAGAAATGAGGCTCAGAGAGGTTAATATACTGCTGAGAAATCACACAGCCAGTCACTGGCAGAGTCAAGAATCAGAATAAAATGTTCTTTTCCAGAGGTCACACTTTTGCTCCCTGCTCCCCTGCTAAATGTCTCTTAGTGTGAAATTTTCTTTAGATTTTGTTGTAGCAGTATAAAAATGCAACACGATCACATCTCCTTATTTGTCAGGGCATTTTGTGCCTAATATTGACACAATTGCAACCTAACCCTTTCCCATCGATCACGTACTCCTAATCATCTCCGCATGATCCATTCTCTGCCCAACTTGAATCACTACTATCCCTTTGTTCTATTTGCAATTTATAGACCATTGACCAAGTGTCATCCTTGTCAAAATGAACCAATAATAATGGTTCATTAATAATGGAACCTATAAATAACATACCTTCTCCTTATCCTACTTATACCAAGAGGGCATGGACAGCTTCCCTGTCACTGAATGTAACTTCTTCTTCTGATCCTACTTCCATCCCCAGGAGAGAAGACTCTACCAGGTCGTCTGCCCACAGACTGCACTCCCGAGGGAGCAGCGCTCCTTGGTACTGACATACTTGCAGCATCTCATCCCCCTACACTCTCCTTGGCTTTGTTTTTCCGTGCCTGCTACACCTTTCCTGAGGGGTGCATCCCAAGGGATGAGGCTAGGCCCACAGTGAGCTGAATTTATAGTCTTAGGAAGACACCTTTTTAATCTGAACACAGGTTTGAATTTTTACAGGCACGTTCAGCCCCCGGTGAAGCATGGAACTCGTGCTGGCCTTCAAAGTAGGTCCCAGTGAGAATTATGGCCTTCCAGTCAGGTCTGAATATCAGTTCTTTTACTTTGCTCTAGAGCTATCATCACCAGATCAGTTTTTATTCTCAGCCAAGAAGGAGATGTAGCTGTAAAAGCTGTTGTTGTTTCCCTTAACTTATCTTCCTCACTTGACCAAATTTACCAAGCTGTGTGAGTTCCCGATGCTGGAAACCGGCCTGTTTTTCCTGCTTTCTTGGAGTGCCTTCCTGTCTGCCGAGGCTGCCGGCCTAACAGGTCAGTGCTTCATGCTGCACAGCCAACTGGATGTGTGAATATGTGTGTGGCTCTGGTGTGTGCCCCTCCCTGACCTAGCAGGAGGTGAAATGAAGTCTCTCTTAAATAGTGCATGTGAATGGTTTGGGTCAGAATCAGCCTCTCTTGGGTACGCTGGAGAGAAAAAATAATAGTAATTCATCCATTTTGTACCAAACAGCTTAATGGAACATCTCCTAAATGCTTTCCTCTCTTCTCCTGGCTGGACAGGAGGCGTGTTGAAGAGACTGATTTATAGTGTGATGGATGATTTTCAAATGGAAGTCTTCATTGAGAGTGTGAAAGGATACCCACAACTGCTTTGTAGAGAAGGGTGGTGGCTTTCAGTGGCTCTTAACAGTAGGTTTCAATGTTAGCAGGCTCTCTAGGGTAGGTACATCTCCATACACGTCGGTGGTTGAGATCTTCACATATGTTCCATGGCAGGTAGGAAAACAAACAGCAAATGTGGTGGCTGTACAGTTTAATGTCTCTTACCACAGAAAGTCTATAGAGAGAGTCCTCTAAGGTGGAACAGTTGATAGAAAGGGGGCAGTTCGTTAGACCCAAGGGCTGCAGATCCTAGGATCTGGATTGAGCAATTAGGTTGCCTTTCTGCAACCATGAGGATTTGTGCTTGGGTTACTGCAACAATTGGGTGCTTTTCCATGCAGAAGAATCTCCATGGCTTCCAGCAAAATGTTAATGCTCTTTCTCTCCTCAAGCCACGTTCCCTGCTTCTCCCAGGTTTCAATCCTGGATCCCTTTCTGCTCATTACATCTTAACGGACATTCGAATGGTAAGAATCCTTCGTAACTGGTAGCAAGGTATACCTCCCTCGGTGTTTGCATTTTAATAGGTGATACTTTAAGTCTAAATAATAAATAATAATAAAAGTTGACATATATTGAGGGTGTACCATGAGCCAGATGCTGGCCAGCTGTCTTTCATAGGTGATTTCATTAATCGATAGAAAGATTCAAAAGTAAAAGACTATGCCCAGTTTACTCAGCCAACAGTAAGTGATGGAGCTGGGATTTAAAACCAGGAAATTCAATTTTAGAGCCTGGGTTCTGGGGGACCACGCATTTCTACCTCAAATGAAACTCCATCTGTGAAACATCAAGCGGACCTCTAAGGGTAGGTAGGAAGGAAGTAGTTGGAGCCCCAGGCAACTGCCTGGTTCAGTTGCTCCTTGGCTGGTCTTGGCTCTCCTGTGAATGCCATGGCAAATCTTTTTAGTAATGAGAACCTATTGCTTTAATCAGCTGGCCCAACTTACTGCAGAACCACACAGTCCAAGCTATTCCCGTTGGCTTCAAGGGTGTTTGCTGCCAATACAGAAAGCCACCCACCAGTTCTTATGACACTATAATCAAGACTACATTACTGGATTCCACCCTACCAGGCCTTTGTATCTAAATTATTTCAATACAAATTCTGTTATTTTAGTGCATTGCCACTTTATTAAGGAGGTAGCTGGAAAGCTTATGCATTTCAGAAGAAAACAGTAGCCATGTCCCTTCAGTGAAATAATGTAGGCAAATCATTTACATCACAGTCATTCAAAAAACATTAGTTCCCTTTCTTCCACATTCTGTATTCTATTCAAGTTTAACTTATAAAATGATCCAAGTAGTATTAATAATAAGAAAAAATATTTGACCTTCTAGAAAGGTAAGGAAGTATCTTAACTCACCTAATATTTTTTAATCTACTGTTGGATGTTATAATAAACACACGCGCACACACACACACACACACACACACACCATTGCCTAAGAATTGTCAATTTGTGTAAAAATTGTCTATTTCCTTGTCCATTTCAGCAAGATCTTCTTCTATCAACTACATTAAAGGCTAAGATCCATGGGAAACTGAACAAATTGCTAGTTTGCTTGATCCTTGCTCTTTCACACCCTTTCAACCTGATATCCTTACTGAGCTGCCATACAGACCACCTTCTAAGGAGCCAGCATCATGGGATGGGTGAATATGGGTGTGAACCCCAGTAACAGAAAGATCCAAGTGTCCATGGCTGTACCGAGGGGCAGACTCACCCCCGAGTAGTACACTAGATTTAGGCAATGTGCCTAACAGACATTTGCTACAAACCAAATTCTAGGTGTGAGCATTTTCTATTGCCAAAGACCAAGACCGCTTAGTCCAAATTACTTATGTGTTTGTTTGTTTATTATTTAATCCTTGCCTATTTCCAGATTGGATTTGTGACAACTCATAACATAAGCCATGCACATCACAGGACCATTTAGTTGAGGGTAAACACTCAAGTGCTCTGGGACAGAATTTTTCTGCAAAATTAGGCCACTGTTCATTGCTGTGGTTTGGCAATAAATATAGCTCTGAGCTTTCTGGCAGTCAAAGCCAAAAGGGGAACATGATGAGTTATACAGGAATAATACAGCATTATTTTTTTTTAAGTCATGCTTATCAAAGTGGGCAAACTTTATTTTTCATACTAAAATTTTAGGGGAATTTATCACATGCATCTATATATAAGGGCCTTTGAACACCAGAATGGACAGTGTATTTAATAATAATTTTAGGGAAAATGGAGGTTCATTCTTCATATGGTCATTTCTCATATCAACTTTCAATAAAACCTGAGGGTGTGGCCTCAAATTATAATTCTGTAATTATTTCCATGTAATAATAAAATCATTTTAGTTCTAATGCACAGGTAAACTAATATGATACAAATCTAAAAATCTAGAAAACTTAAAAAAATGATTTCTGCATGAATAGACAACAATGAATACAGTAAACTAAAATGGAAAGAGCTATTAAATAGTTTATGAGTAACTACAGAGGTAACCAGCAATCGTGGAGCCTTGTATGGGTTCACTAACAACACTTAATGTAGCTCCTAGAGATGGTATTAACATGGAATGATTTCTCAGCAGAATTCCCCAGGCCCTGACCTTTCAAAGTGCGCCCTCAAGAACATCCGTCTAGTGAGCAGGGCTCTCGGCCGCCTACCCATACTTCACCCCTTTTATTGGTTTCAGAAATTGGGATATCACATACAATTCTATTTGAAAAAAAATGTTCTGCTACTTTAAACAAAGCACATCTGTTTTTAAATATATTTTATTTTTTTCGTACACCCAAGGTAATCCATACTCACTGTAGAAAATTTAGAAAATGCAGATTTACAGAAGGAAATAAATTTAGAATCACTTATATTCTTATTGCATGTTAATAACAATTGTTAATATTTGGCTGTGTCAAGCTAACTATATATATATAATTATACACACACATATACACTTAAATATGCCTACCTAAATATACTCGTGCATGCATATATCTATATATTTCTTAAGTAACTTGCTTTTTTCATTCAACAATTTATAATGAAAAAAATGCCATGAATGGAGCATTAAAAAATTTATAGTGAATGTTTTCCAAAACATTGAATACTCCATCATATGAACTTGCCATAATTTATTGTAACAACCTTTTGATTATTTACAGGTTTTAATATTCTTATTATTACTGCAATGATAATCTGTATAGCTAGAGATATAAATTTTTATTTATGTAACTGCCTGAAAATAAAATGTCTGGTTTAATAAAAAGACTAAAATTTAAATTTTTGGACAAATTTGTCCAAATTGTCTTTTAGAAAATTTGTATCCCCTTGCACTCCCACCAGCAATCTGAAAGCAAGCTCATTCACTCACGTCTTCACCACCCCAAATCTTATTAATCACTGCTAATTTGATAATCAAGTTCCATTTTCTTCCGGTTTACATTTATTATATTTTTATGAAGGAGAAGCTTTTTTAATTACAGGTCATTGGCTGTTTGTATTTCTTCTTTGGTGAACTACCAGTTTATGCCCTTTGTTACTTTTTTGTTGTTGTTAACTGTTTTCGTGTTGAGATGCTTATCTTTGTCACATTGTAGTTCAGTTACTCTTTATCTATGGAGAAAATTGGCTAGGACCAATGATGCATTTCTATAATCCCAGCACTTTGGGAGGCCAAGCAGGGAGGATTGCTTGGGCCCAAGAGTTCCAGACCAGACTGGACAACATAGTGAGACCCTGTCTCTAAAAAAAAAAAAGTATCTGGTCATGGTGGCACACACTGTGGCCCTAGCTACCAGGGAGGCTGAGGCAGGAGGATTGCTTGAGCCCAGGAGTTCAAGACTGCAATGAGCTATGACATGACTGCATTCTATTCTGGGCAACAAAGAGATACCCTGTCTCCAAAAAAAAAAAAAAAAGAAAAAAACAATAAAAGAAAATTAACCTTTTGACTGTCATATAGGCCATAAATATTCTCCAATTTGTGCTTGTACCTTTTAACTATGTTCTGTTTTGTTCGTTTGGGTAAGGGAAAGGGGTTGGCATAGGCATTTTCAAGTTTTATGTGGTTAATTGTATTGCCTCCTTAGAAAGCCCAAGTGAATGATATGTCCACAAACTTAGCAGCCTAAAAAATAATAAAAAAGAAAAAATATATAGAAAACCCAAGTGTTTCTTAATGATAGTGTATAATTTCTTTTAAAAGTTGTTTGATTTTGTTTTTGCATCAGAAACCAACTGGAATTTGTTTTGATATGAGGTGTGGGGTATAGTAGCGATTTGATTTTCTTCCCAGATGATAAGTCACCTGTCCTAACACCCATCAACTTTTGCCTATTTAAAATGTCTATGTATGTGCACATACATGTATGTGTATGTGTATCTGTATGTTCTGGGCTTTCCATTGTTCCACCGAATGTTTGATATTCACTGTGTCAATTATTTCAGCTTCATGGTTTATTTTAATATCTAGTAGGTCAGTCTTTCACTCCTCTTCCCCATATTCAAAAGTTCCTTTGCTATACCTGTGTATTTATTATTCCTGATGGACTTGGAAATAACAGGTTCCAAACAGAAAATAATTTTGGAATTATAATTGGGGTACATTAAATTTTTAGATTAATTTGAAGAGAAATGGCATTTTTATAACATCAAGTCTTCCCACCCAGGAATATGTTATGACTCTCCATTTATTTGAGTCTTATTTTACGGCTCTCAGTAAATTTTTACAGTTGTCTTCACATTAGACCTACAAATTTCTTGTTAAGTATCTTTTCAGCAGCTACTTTATATTTTGGGGTGCTACAGTAAATGGGAACTTCTTTATAGTTTCTAACTGGTTATTGTTTGTATATGTGCATCTAGATTGCACTGCACTATTTGATTTATTCTCTGTAGCTCTAAAGTACAAAATTAGAGCTGATGGAGAATTAGGATTAATGGGCAGAAGTTAGACTGTCAAGTTCAGGAGGGCTTTGTCAGCACCAAAAGAATGTCTGAAGCATTGTGGGCACAAAATAAATATCGTTCGAGCAGTGGAATGAATAATTTTCACTCACAAAAGAAAAAAGTTTCAAAACCTGAATAACAGATCACTTTATAAGGTAGTAAGTGTTCTGTGCCCAATAATATTCCTACAGATTTTACACATCCTCTGGTCCAAACATTTCACAGCAGATCCATACGTCAAGTAAATGATATCTCATAAATTGCATTAATCTGTAACCTTATTTTCCCAATTATTAAGTTAAAAAATGAAGACATATAGGCATGAAAGGAACAGCTCTGTCTAGAAGAATGTGGTGGACATGTGTTGGTTCTGGCTGCCCCAACACATTCTCACTTCCACTGGTAATAGCATCCTAATGTTTCTTAGGAAACTACCCCCAACTCCAATGGATAACATCTTCTAATCAACGTGTCCCACCCTCCCCTGACAAAGAGAATTAGGACATCTGAAGGTAGGACAACTAGACACTCTTCCCCTGGTATGTAAAACTTTAGGAGGGAGAGAGGAGGCTGTATAACTGCTGGCACCTCCTCAATAGCAGAGCCCTATTGAGACCCTCTATTTATTTATTCCTGCCACCAGATCCCTGGAGCAGCCATGATGCCTCCTTTCTAAGAGCTATCACACTTCCTTCCAATAAATTCCTTTCTGATTATGCTAGCCAGAGTCTGTTTTTATTACTTGCAAACAAAGAAATCTAAATGGTACAAAGGAAGGAATAGTCCATGAGGTATTTCAACAAAAGAAATTGTATAACTTTGTGACAGATCAGAAGGGAAGACAGTCTCAAAGACGGCACAGCCTCTAGGCTAGGATACTTGGGACCATCTTATGCCAGGTGCATACTGATAAACGAACAAAAAGAATCAAGCTTTTAAAGACAGTTTGCAGTGTTCATTATCCTTTCCAATTCAGCTTCTTACCAGATTCATCATGAACACTTCAGTGTAAGCAGCTTGCTCATTAACACGTGGCCTGCATTCACTTTCAGTTGTTACTAATTTGATGATGATCATTTGATTTATTTTGATCATCTTTTGCTTCAAGGGCCACATTTGCAGCCACCTCATCTCAGTCTCTTGGAAATTGCACCTGCCAGTGTTCAATAGTCACATACAAGAACTTGGTTTTATGGAAACAAGTGGCTTTTAGACATGCAAATGAAGGCTGGTGTTTCTATTACCCAGAAATCTGAATCTGTGCTGCTTGAAATATACAAGTGCATTGAGAAAACATTTATTTGGGAAGATTGGGCAGAATATAAAATGCAAGTGAGAAGTCTTTATAGAGGATGAGAGTATGTACAGAGAAATGGACATTAGGGACTTCTCACAAATCCAGAGAGCATAGAAAGAAGAGAACATATGTGGATGTGTCTGCCATACTTACAAAATCAGCCACCGAGGCATGTGTCTCTGGCTTCTGGATCTTCAGCTGACTTGCTAAAGGATTGGAATAAGTCATCCTATTAATTGGCATCTCTATTTTCCTTACTGCTAAAGTCAAAGGAATTTATTGCTTTGTAATAGAAGGACATTGTACACATACAGAATGTGGCTTTTGGGTAAATACATGACCCTAAGGAATTCTCTCTGTGAGGTACCTGGTATACACGACTACCTAATTTTGGATCAGGTAGAATTTTTCTTGTGCAGAGGCCTGTTTTCTAAAAGTCATTAGGTTACTGAGCCATTATTTTTAAATGAATATTGAAAATACTTCAGCAGTATTATTTATAGCATATCTCCAATGGAATTGAATCCTGTCATAGAAGCTGCTTTCCAGTTTATAAAGATAACCGAAAAGCACAGCTGGACAGGTTGTTTGAAAATTCATTTTTATAATCTGTTTCCCAGCTGAGACTTTGGGGGTCAGGTTTTCGCCAGAAGCAAACTTTCAGGGACTGTCATTAAACACCCAAAGAGTAAGATTTCTAATGGCAACATTGACACCATGTCTAATGATTTCCCTGCTTCCAGGCATTGCTCTAATAAAGACAGCTTCCATTTTTAGATTCCTAGGGCAATTTTATGTTCATTGGAGGCAGAGGAGGGGGAAGAGTGCCACTGGCATATCTCATTTTCTCATACAAAAAGTTAAACAGTATAGAACACTATTTACTCAGCTTAGAATGACTTCCATTTAAGAAAACAGGCATCCAGAAATATGAAGAAAAAGAAGTCCTGATTATTAAGTAATGGGGCTGGGCTTTCTAATCTGATTCTAGAGAGTAAATGAATCTTAAAAAAAATGAAAGTGTGGGAAGTTAAAAACAAGTAACACTCTGGCCTATTCATTAAGGAATTGACCAAGATGTCTGAAAGAAAGAAGTGCTCAGCACATGCAAGTTGTGTTTACAACACAAACAGTTAAATCATCTCAATCCCTTCCCCTAAGCCTGTTCTCCTATTGGCCTCAAATCACAAGGGCCTAATTACATTGCCATGATAGGAAAAGCTGCACTTGGAACTCAGGTGCTATGTATTTGTCAAGTCAGTTCTTGAAAGGCTTTTGTAGAGTAAGCAGTGAGGGAAAAGGGGAACTTGAGAAAGTCTATTTTGCAATAGATAAGGAGGAGAGATTTCCAAATGAAATGACTATTACTGGACATGTTGAGATTTCACTTGTCTGAGTAAGTAAGTTGGCTTATTACTTCTCATCTCATCATTTCTCACTTGGGCAAAAATTGTTTTCAAACTCTTAAGAAGGCTTTTAGCTCAGAGGTGAATGTGTTCCATTTGGCTTGCCACTGATGCACTGCATGACTGGATGGGAAATGCATTTCTGGAGCTCAGTAAATAAAACAAATCTCCAGGAGGGGACTTCGTTTGAATTGTTTCTCAAAACAAATCTGGCCAGTTTTAGCTTCCAAATACGTGTCATTAGCCAACATCTCTTACCTTAAAACTGGTTTGCTTTATATTGACAGAACCAGGTGAATCCAACTTAACCAACAATTCACCAACAAATGAGGTGAAGTGAGTGTTTTCCAAGCTGGAAAAAAAAAAACAAAACCCTGAGGCTCAAAATATTAGGCGTTCAAGCTGCAGAAATAGTGCCTACAATTCTCAAGGGGATTAGTTAACCAGCACACTGAACCAAAGACAAACATGCAATGATGCCATCTCAATAAACACAGGTGTAAAGTATGTCTTCTCGCATAATAACTCATTAACTCACACCTGCACTTCCTTGAACCAAATAGCTCTTCATTTCAATATTCAAACAACCTGCACATATAGCTAAAGCAGTGGACAAATTTACCCCTCCTTTCTTCATTGTAAATGTTTTCAGTCATTATTTAACAACTCTTCATGGTGCCAGGAGTCATAGAGAAAAAGGTAAAATTATTTCCCAAGAACCCATATTCTGCATAGGCATGTAGAAAATTGTCAGAAGATGGCACAAATAACATGTGGATGCAGAAGAAAAATGAGTCAAAGATAATTCCCGGGTTTTTTATGTCTGTTGGGTCAGTGGTTGATTTCACCAAAATGGAGAATACAAGTGAGTGAATACATGCGCCAAAAGGAGACACAATAATCAGTTCATTCCAGGACCTTCAGAATTCCACACAAGGGTAGAATATCCACATGGAAAAGTACAGTGGGCAACTGGCCTGGACTTCTGGGGTGAGATTGCTGATCACAGATTTAGGCAACATTGATGTAAATGTGTTAGCTGACTCCAAGGAAATGGGAACTAGAAAGAAACCAGGGTAAGGAGGGTAAGCCTAATGAACACCAAAACTTGAGGCGCCATGCCAGGGATCTAAGCAAAATAGGTCTTTCCTTCTTCTCCAGACCTCAAGATAATTTGCATAAGTACTCATTACTATGTTATGAAGAATTTACATAGAGGATATTTTTAAACAAAAATTTCTAAACCTGGCAACATAGATTTGAAGTAACACTTAAGTGCATATCTATATACTCAGCATTGGAGGAATCAGAAATAATAACATAGATTCATGCTGTTTTCTATATTGATGTTCTTATATTCCACAGATGCATTATTAATCTGCCAACTATGGAGTTGCCAAATATGGTGAACTAGATGGTAATTGTACTCTTTGGAAAGTTGGATACTTTCATATTGCCTGAAGGAGTTTTCCATTTTGTTAAATCTTTGACTTCTCAGTTCCAGGTTCACTTTCAGTGGTTGTAGGAAACCTGTCAGAAATGTCTCTTTTTACTAGATCAAAAATAAATAAAAGTGTGGCATGGAAGAATAACCCATCAACCTCTTAAACCCCTCAGAGGACCATCTGAGTGCAAGACACATTTCTTTTTCTTTCTTATTCATTCTCTTTCTGTGTTCTGGTGATATAATCAATATTCCTGTCCAAAAATGCAGTATTCTGTAGTCTTAGAAACTCTTCAAGTCTGCATTTAATGTCAAGGTAGAGCATGCTTCATGTGACAGACACTTATTTTCTACTTCTGTATCTGACGGCTTCATCAACTTTTAATGAGAAAAGAATTCTGGAGTAATGTTATCAGAAGCAGAGGCTGTAGGTGACATACTCTTGAATAAGAAAATTTAAATATTAGAAGACAACGGACCCTGCCAGGAATAAATTCATATAAACATTTATTCGTAAGTGAGAATTAGGATTAATCTCCTTGTGTTCTCTTTTCAAAGCACATAAACATTTCTTGAAGTAGAATTTCATTCCTTTGACAGATGTGTATTTGAGTACCTGACATGTGCTGGACACTGCTGTGGGTCAGCGATAAGACAGCAGGTCAGGAACCTAGCTCTTGAGGAGATAGAGGTCAAGAGGGAGACACTGGGTAATCTAGTTGACAGGAAGTCAAGTGAAGCTGTTAAACCCCATGCAATTCTTCAATCCCAAGTATGCAGACCTTGAAGCAAAGTAAAAACTGAACCATTTATATTACAGACATTTATAATTGGAAGGTGCTGAGAGGTCATCTAGAGCAATGCTTGCCAGAGTTTCTTGACCCTTATTGGCAACAAATAGATTTATTATGTAACACATGCTTATATATTAATTTTCATTTTTTTGCCCACAAGGGTAATTATATTATGTTAGAATATACAAAAGTGCTAATTAAAATTATGATGATCTTACGTTTTCTTCCCCCTTCCTTGGATTGTCTTATATACCCCTATTTGAAAACCACTAAACAGACTACCTTCCTCAATTTAGTGAGGAGAAAGCAATGGACGAGGCAATGCATTTAAATTGCATCAGTCATCAAACTAGCAAAGTGTCTGAACTGTGACCAGATAGATCCTATGTCTTCTGACTCCCAGTATTGCACGTTTTTTCTTACATAATTTACAACCACATATTGAAGTTTGATCATATCAACAAGTAAATAGACATAGTATATTTAGTAGCACTAATGCTTTCTGAGGGGGTCCAGAAGTGGAAGTCATGGAGAACAGTATAAATGGTACTGTGTTAAACAAAAAGACTTAATTGTTCTCTGAAAATTGATCTCTCTGGAAATAATTTACTTGCCAGCAGAATCTTTATTTTTCCCCAAGAAGCATAGATCTCCTCATGCTGTTTCCTAAATTTCTTTGCTTGCCAATTAACTTGAATTTAACCGTGTGCCTCTTTGTGGTTTTTCAAAACAGTTCTTTTAGATACTATCAAAAAGTGTTGGTTCTAGTTCTTATCCAAAATTGTGTAAATGAGTCCCTGCAGTCAATCCTTTGGGCTCTTACCCACCACTGAAATCTCACTGTACAAACACTGAAAGGCAGTGTTGTGCACAAACATGAGTCAGATGCTCTTATCATTATTTTTTGTAGGCCACCTCCTGATTTCTTTCAGAGTCCTTTATTTATTTTAGGTCCTAGATATTTTTGAGCATGACCCACTCCGCATGGACCCAGATGTATGTAGTTGAGTCCATTCATCATTGCTGCAGGGCCTCATATGTCCAATTTAAATCTAAGATCTTGGACATGTAAAGTAAGAGTTGCATTTAAGGATTGCTTGTTTTTCCAGCAGAGATGGAAACAGAATGATCAGATTTTATTTTTATTGGGAAAGAAAATGAAGAAATACTTTGCCAGCAGAGGGTAGACATACTAGATATTTTATATTTCTAATTTTATGTATACTAGGCCTAACAAAACATGCAAGATAAATACCTTAGTGCTTATAATAGTTTGACAATTAAGCATAGAGTTTATTAGTTGTTTCTCCTATTAAGTTTTGTATTCAAAAAATTTTTAAATTAATTCATGTGTATTTATTCCCTATCTATAATGGATTAAAGTCCAAGTGTGCTGGTAAAGTGCATGTTTCTCAGATATGCCCCGCAATCACCTGCCTCTCTCCCTTTGCTCTTACTGAAGTCCCTACCCATGAACCTGCACTCCCAAATTTTTCTCATCTCTCAAGACCCAAATGCCTCTGCCACTTTCAGGAAAACATTCCTCATCCCTGTCCCAGCTTTTCTAGCCTTAAAGAAATTACTCCCTTTGAGAATTCCTTTGTTATCACCCACTATTCTACCAGTTTTAGATGTCTTTGTATATATCTTATCTCTGTTAGGAGACATAAAGCTGCTTGAGGCCTAGGCCTGCTTTATTCAGTCTTGTGTTCCTCATACCCATGGTCAGTGCTTTGCTCAGTATAGGATCTCAATAGATAACTAGCAATTGAGTGAGTAAATACCAGATACCAAACTCACTCATGTAAGTCTGGTAGCTTAATTGTGACATTACTGAGAATTGTCTAAGTTTAGATTACTAGGAATAGCAAGCACATATCTACCTGCTTTCCTTGATGCAGGAGTTAAAGGTGAAGGGAAGACAACAAAGGTGAAAAAGGGCATAGAATGTGCAAAGCTTGTACTATCTCCCAGTCACTTGTTAAATAGGAAATGTTGCTGTATTTATCCCTGAAATGAGTTTCTCCAAGTTATTCCTTCTTGTCTTCTTCCTTTCATCTCCTAATATTTATGGCAAAACCTTATGTTTACTTAAGAGTATTGAGTTTGTAAAGCATTTTAATATCCATCATATTGCATTATATTAAAAACAGACCGTGAGACAGGTAGCCACTAGCCAGATGAGAAAATTAAGTCTCAGTAGGGTGAAGCTATTGGCCAGCATCACCCGTGTTATGCCTGTAGCCATGGCGAGAGAATGGCAGCCTGGGAAGCATCGAGGCCCAAGATACCACAGGGGCTGAGAGGCGTGGACCCTACTCTTACCGTGCAGCTCTTTATTTTAGTGGCCAAGTCCTCTTTTTCATATATTCTTTTTGGCTACTTTTTCATTTTTCTTGGTTAAGTTTTTTCTGCTTACATTGGGTCTATTTTTATGCCCCTTGTCCAGTTTCTTGAGGTAAATAATCTACTTATTTTCAATCTTTTTGTCCTGATAAAATGCACAGAAGACTATCAATTTTCCACTAAATAATTATTTGGTTTTTATCCCATTGGTTTTGATAGGGTATGTGGTATAAACTTATTGTTATCCTATTTCTAAATAATCTAAAATTTCACATTTGATTTCACCTTCAACTCAATTTATTTACTTATTTATTTTGAGATGGAGTTTCACTCTTATTGCCCAGGCTGGAGTACAATGGCACAACCTCAGCTCACTGCAACTTGCACCTCCCGGGTTCAAACAATTCTCCTGCCTCAACCTCCCAAGTAGCTGGGATTACAGGCGCACACCACCACGCCCGGCTAATTTTTGTATTTTTAGTAGAGACGGGGTTTTGCCATTTTGACCAGGCTGGTCTCGAACTCCTGACCTCAGGTGATCAGCCTGCCTCAGCCTCCCAAAGTGCTGGGATTACAGGCGTGAGCCACCGCGTTTGGCCTCAACTCAAATTTTAATTAGAAAAATGCATTTGAAAGTCTCCAGTGGATACATTTATTTAGCCTATGCTTTTTTGTTAATTTTCAGTCTTATAACATTGTGGTAAAAAATATGACAGCCTTATAACATTGTGATCAAAAGATGTGATGTATTTGTTTCCTTTTTTTTTTGAAGGAAAAAGTTTTATTCAACTTTTTGGTGGTAAAGTATATCATCAATTTTATTTTATGTAATTTTTTCACATTCCAATATTGTTGGGATGAAAAGGAAATAATTTTAAAGTAAAGTAAAAAAAATTTAAAACCTCTCAGATTTTCTTGATAATAATTACTCTCTGAAACTAAAATGACTTCACAGAACCATGTCAATTCTGGAAAGCTAGGAAAAGAAAACCAAAGAATAAAACACAAAAATATAATTTTAAAACATTTTTTGAAATTAGCAAAAGATATTTATAAGCCAAAAAAAAGGGTAACAAAAATTGTGCTACTCCTTTGAAGATGTCTTATAATTGTTCCAAAATGCTAAGAGGTCAAGAATAAGGGAAAAATATCTTTTGGGGACATACAAGGTCAGAGCCAACTCTTAGCAAGGGTGAGTTGATACCTAGACCCAGACCGTTAGGGAGAGACTTGCTCCTCAAAGTGTGGTCCAAGGGCCGGCATCATGGACATCCCCTAATAGTATAAAAATGCAGAATTGGGGGCTCTACCCCAAACCTACTGAAGGAGAATCTGCATTTAAATCCCCAGGTGATTTGGTGCTCAGATGTACATTAATACCCAGAGTCCTGAAATCATTGCCTTGTGGATTCTTGGGCCACAGTTGCACTTCCAGATGTGGTCAAGTGGCTTCTGATATATGGAGAGGACAGTGATATAAGCTGTAAATTAAGCAAAGCCTGGGAGTGACAAGAACAGGCAAGGCAAAGTGGTAAGAAACAGCAGTAAGAGAGAAGGAGAGAGGGAGTGGGTTCCTTTGTGGGGTGAACTGCTCTGTCGCTTGGGCAGAGTCATCCGAACTCACTATTTTCAATGCCCTTTGATCTGAAGGTTTGTGTTCTAGAGATTTAAAAATATCCTTTTTTACATGGAGAAGACTTTTGGAGTTTCTCTTTAAACCTCATAGCTTATTTGAAAAAACTAAGTTCTTATGAGTAGAAGATATGGTAACAATATATTTTTAAATTTTACTTTAGAAGGCTTGTTTGAAATTGAAACAATTTTGAAAGCCTATAAGCTTATCTTGTCTTCACTTATTGAGAAAATTGGCCTCTATTCAAAATGCTTAAAGGTTTCATTTAGAACCAGTGTTATTTCTTTGACCTTAAAAAAAAAAACAAAGACTGAATTGAAGGGTTCATCCCAGTGGATTAATGAAGTAATACATAGGAAAATGACAGGCCTTCAGAATTGGAGGAAATCCAGACTTTAAGAAAATAATCCTTTCTACAACAATGCTGGCAGATAATCTTTCAGCTTAAACATATGATAGGAACGTCTTACACGTCGCAGTAGCTACTCTACCATAGGATAGTGCTTGTGTTTTGGAAGGATTATGGGATTGGGAATTGGAAGACATAAATCCAAGTCTGGGCTATGCCTCATTAATAGTTCTAGGTCTAACATATTTCTCTCTCCAAACCACTTGTTCCAATATAAAGGCTGTGTATTATCCATTCTCACACTGCTATGAAGAAATACCCAAGACTGGGTAATTTATAAAGAGAAGAGATTTAATTGACTCACAGTTCCACATGGCTGGGGAGGCCTCAGGAAACTTACAATCATAGCGGAAGGCACCTCTTCTCAGGGCGGCAGGAGAGAGAAAGAGTGCAAGAAGGGGAAATACCTGAATCTTATAAAATCATCAGATCTAGTGAGAACTCACTATCATGAGAACAGCATGGGGGAAACTGTCCCTATGATCCAATTACTTCCCACCAGGACCCTCCCATGACACATGGGGATTATGGGAACTATAAGTCAAGATTAGATTTGGGTGGGGACACAGCCAAACTATAACATTCTGCCCCTGCCCCCTCCCAGATCTCATGTTCTCACATTTCAAAACACAATCATGCCCTTCCAACAGTCCCCCAAAGTCTTAACCTATTCCAGTATTAACCCAAAAGTCCAAGTCCAAATTTTCATCTGAGACAAGGCAAGTCCCTTCTGCCTATGAGCCTGTAAAATCAAAAGCAAGTTAGTTACTTCCTAGATACAATGAGGGTACAGGCATTGCATTCCAAATAGGAGAAATTGGCCAAAACAAAGGAGGTACAGGCCCCATGCAACTCCAAAATCCATTATGTCAGTCATTAAACCTTAAAGTTCCAAAATGATCTCCTTTGACTCCACATTTCACATCCATGTCATGCTGATGTAAGACTTGGGCTCCCACAGCCTTGGACAGCTCTGACTCTGTGGCTTTGTAGGGTACAACCCTGTCTCAGCTGCTTTCATGGGCTGGTATTGGGTGTCTGTTGCTTTTCCAGGTGCACGGTGCAAGCTGTCAGTGGATCTACAATTCTGGGGTCTAGAGGACAGTGGTCCTCTTCCTACAGCTCCACTAGGCAGTGCCCTAGTGGAGACTGTGTGGGTTCCAATTCAACATTTTCCTTCCATACTACCCTAGCAGAGGTTCTCCATGAGGGCTCCACTGCTGTAGCAAACTTCTGCCTGTACATCCAGGCATTTCCATACATCCTCTGAAATCTAGGTGGAGGTTCCCAAATCTCAATTATTAACTTCTATGTACCCACAGGCTCCACACCATGTAAAAGCTGGAGCTAAAGCAGTTGGGACACAGGGCACCATGTCCTGAGGCTGCACAGAGCAGGGGGGCCCTGGGCCAGGCCCATTAAACCATTTTTTTCTCCTAGGCCTCCAGGCCTGTGATGGGAGGGGCTGCTGTGAAGGTCTCTGACATGCCTTGGAGACATTTTCCCCATTGTTTTGGTGATTAACATTTGGCTTCTCATTACTTATGTAAATTTTTGCAATGGTCTTGAATTTCTCTCCAGAAAATGGTTTTATTTTTTTCTATTGCATTGTCAGGCTGCAAATTTTCCAATGTTTTCTGTTTTGAGTTTTCTTGAATGCTTTGCTGCTTAGAAATTTCTTCCACCAGATACCCTAAATTATCTCTCTCAAGTTCAAATTTCCACAGATCTCTAGGGCAGGGGCAAAAATGCCACCAGTCTCTTTGCTAAAGCATAGCAAGAGTCACCTTTGCTCCAGTTCCCAACAAGTTCCTCATCTGAGACCACTCAGCCTGGACTTCATTGTCCATATCACTATCAGCATTTTAGTCAAAGTCATTCAACAAGTCTCTAGGAAGTTCCAAACTTTCCCATATCTTCCTGTCTTCTGAGTCCCTGAAGTCTCTAGGAAGTTCTGAACTTTCCCACATTTTCCTGTCTTCTTCTGAGCCCTCCAAACTGTTCCAACCTCTGCCTGTTACCCAGTTCCAAAGTTGCATCGACATTTCTGGATATCCTTATAAAAACACCCCACCCCACTCGGTGCCAATTTACTGTATTAGTCCATTCTCACATTGCTATGAAGAAATACCTGAGACTGGGTAATTTATAAAGAAGAGGTTTAATTGACTCACAGTTCTGCAAGGCTGAGGAGGCTTCAGGAAACTTACAATTCTGGCAGAAGGCACATCTTCACAGGGTGGCAAGAGAGAGAATGAGTGCAAGCAGGGGAAACGCCAGACACATGTAAAACCCTCCGATCTAGTGAGAACTCACTCACTATCATGAGAACAGCATGGGGGAAACTACCCCCATGCTCCAATCACTTCCCACTGGGTTCCTCCCCTGACACATGGGGATTATGAGAACCACAATTCAAGATGAGATGTGATGGGGGACACAGCCAAACCATATAACCACATCACTTTTTAAAAATACCAATTCCAACCATAGGTACAACTGAAAAGAGGATGAGTTCCAGTTCTCTTGGACTTGGCACATGGTCTTGCCTGCCCCTAGTGTTCCTCATTGTCTCAGTTATGACAGCAAAGATACAAGTTGGATTTTATTTTCAAATGGAAAACTGTGGTTTCCAAGAACTATCAAAGTTTAGAAAGAGAAGATAACCACAAGAGAATATCAACGAGGATTGACTCAGAAAAAAAGAAAACGATCTGGCTATTGACAGAGTTTAATTCAGGAAATTGGGTAGAGAGTTGGTGGAGATCTCAAAAGGTATAAAGTGTGCATAAAGGTAACAGAGAGGTAATACTTACAGGAAGCAAGTGTGAACCCTAGGAGTAGGAAAAGTAAAGGGAAATGAATCTAGAAGCTCCTAAGAGGCAACCACTGGGCTAGGATCCAGAATTCTAAGGACACTGCCTGGCTGCCCTTTCTGAGGTGTATCATTGCTGAGATGAAGCTAGCAGGAAGAGCAGGCAAATAGGAAGAAGCAAGCCCTTCTCTCCTCCACTGGGTTCTAGTCACCTTCTGGCACTTCATACTGGCAGGATCCAACAGCACTGGCAAAGGAAAGCATGGTTTATAGGGCCCCTGTGCCAGGATCACAGAGCCAGTAAAGATACGTGGGTTTGGAGCTGAGACACTGGTTTGATGACTGGCACAAAAAGCACTTCTAGGCCCCTTGAGGGTCCCCCTCACCCTCTTTCTTACACACAAGAATCTGAGGTTCATAGAGTTTAAGAGAACTATCTAGGACCTCACATAACAGCTTCACAATTAGGACTCAGGCATGGGTATATAAAAACATAGTGATAATTAAAATGTTCTTTCATAAGGTAGAAAACAGTCAACTTTGAATTTGTTTCTGTGTTGGAGAATTTTATAGATAATAGATGTATTTAGATGAGACATTTTCAAAATGTGTTTGGCTTGTAAAAGTCATACTAATTACAGTAATTTGTGTGATTTAATTTATTACTAAGCTATGGAATTATGATTGTGTATGCTAATACTAAGGGTCAGATCAATTTTGTTGTTTTATTTTAATTACAACACCAAGCCTCTGGTCATGTGGGCTCATTCTCCACTGTTTGTTGTTTATATGACATATCCATCCACACAAGACTCAAAAGATATTTAGCAACAACATAGCCTGTTAGTTTTCTACTGGAGGCAAGGAAATGATAACCAATGCAGCCACTAGGGAAAATATTCTCCAATGATAAGCCCAGCTAGTTCAGAGAGATATGTAATCTTTTTCGTAAAATCTCTGGCTAGTTCCTGGGATATCAGAAATATTTTTTAGATGGCTTAAGATCACCTTAAAACATTCACAGATGGTCTAATATAGGCAGAAAAGCACAGGGATGCTATGGACTATTTGATCTCAGCTCTGTCACTTTAGAGGTGACCTTGAGTAAATTACTTTAGTGTCTTACTTGTTCAATAGAAATGGGAATGTTCACTTATTTATTCAACAAATACGGAGTGCCTACCATGTGCCTGGTACTGCTCTAATCATTAGGAATCAAGGAATCCCTCTGTCTTCAATGAGCTTTGCCTTGTGTTACAGTGTATTCGTCTATTTTCATGCTGCTGATAAAGATATGTTCAAGACTGGATAATTTATAAAGAAAAAGAGGTTTAATGGACTCAAAGTTCCACGTAGCTGGGGAGGCCTCACAATCATGGTGGAAGGTGAAAGGCACATCTTACATGGCAGCAGACAAGAGAGATATGACAGCCAAGTGAAAGGGGAAACCCCTTATAAAATCATCAGATCTCATGAGACTTATTCACTACCAAGAGAACAGTATGAGGGAAGCTTCCCCCATGATTCAATTATCTCCTACCAGGTCCCTCCCACAACATGTGGGAATTATGAGAACTACAACAAGATGAGATTTGGGTGGGGACACAGCCAAACCATATCATGCAGGAAGGCAGAAAATAAACACATAAATATATAAAATATCAAGTAGCAAGATATAGTACAGGAAAAAAATAAAGCAAGTAGAGAATGATGAGACTGAACAATTTGTACAGAGTGGATGGAGAAGACCTGTCTGCTCATGTAACATCTAAACAGATATCTGAAGGAGGGAAGGAGCCATGTGGATATCTGCAGAGCATTCCAAACAGTGGGACCTGGAAGGAAGTGCAAGGGCCCCTGGCAGAACATACTTAGAGAGGATATTGAAAGGTAAGGCGGTGGGGAGTGGTCAGAGAAGAGGTCAGCAAGTTGTGGGGAGTGGGGAAGGGGCAGGAAGAGATCTTGCAGGACCTTTTAAGCCACAGGAATCCATTACAAAGTTTTGAGCAAAGGCCAGACATGGTCTGACTAGTTTTTAAAGAAGCGTTATTGCTAGGGGCTACCATGGGAGGCAGGGAGGCCAGTTAGGAAGCTATCGTTGTAATCCAGGCCAAAGGTTATGGGGGCTTGGAAAGGGATGCTAGGGATGGAGATGTTGAGAAGTGTTTGGGTTCAAGGTGCATTTTGAAGGACAAGTAAACAAAATTGCTGATTTGCAGTGAGAGGTGCACTTAGGGTGGTCCCAAAGTTTCCCCCTGGGCAGCAAAAAGAATGGATGCTATTACTAAAAAGGAGAAGGCAGTGGGAGAGGCTGCTTAATCATTGTGAGCCTGTTGTGAGATAGTAACTCACTGCAGTAAATAAGAAGATGTAAATTAAACAAGCACTGTTCTTGGCCCACAGTAGGTATTCAGACAATCTTAGTCCCTTCCTTATCCTTTGTAACACTTCTTTGTTACCTATTCTTGTTCTTACAATGAATTTATTTGCTATCCATACACAGACACACCTGCCCTTTTATTCACTACTTCTCTACAGATCAATATCTAGTCAAAACAGTGAACAGGTCAGCAAAACCTCACCCAGAAAACCCCCAATAGACTACACACTAGACAGACATAGGCCACATTTTTAAATAAATAAAGAGAAATGATTTATGCCAAAACAGTATACAGGGTAATCCTCCTTGTGCTTTGAAGTACTTAGTGCTTCAGCACACTAAAAGTTTCCCTGGTATTTGTTGCTTTTTAAAATAGAAATTCTGTGAATAGTAAAATAGTTTATAAGAATTTTTGCCTTAGAATTTCTGAAGAGATGCTAAGAAACTGAGAAGTTACCAAAAATCTGTTGAATTGCCTACTGAATAGATATTTCATGGTAAAATTTCCTACTTGTTTTATTCTTTTGTCTAAAATTTTGAAGCATAATGTTAAAAGACAATAAGTCATGTAGATTTTACACATTTATGCAAATATGTGTTAGCAATGTTTTATCCAATGCTGACCTGAAAAATAACCAACATGTAAATAGAAGCATATAGTCTACATATTTTTTTAAAGCTCAGTTCTTTAAAATTCTTTGTTGCAGATTCACTTGAAATGTCAGTATTCAGTTCACATATCTCTATACTCTTAAGAATCATCAGCATTTAATTTATGAGTGTTTTTAGTTGGAAAGATTTTGCTGCTTAAAATTCAATTCAATCCCCTTGGTCTGAGTCGAGGAATACTTATATCTTGCATTTTTCCCAAAGCCCTCCTCTATGCCCAATTTCCCACAATTGAGCTAATCTTTAACCCAAAGTACAGTGCAAGCTCCCACTGCTTCCCCACTCCAGCCCAGGGACAATAACACAGAGAATAACAGAGCCCAGGGACAGATAGCATGTCGGTCTCATGGTCGCTCTTCCTCTGTCTCCAGAAAGCATCTAGTGTATGTGTGACTTCATGTCACATTTAAAGCTGATATGTGGTTTAAAACTAAACCCTGCAGATGTCAAGAAGCAACTGAAGGTCCACTGTTGGTAGGAATCACACAAGAACAGACCAGTTTACTTTCAAGGAGTGAATGCCTTGGGTGTGTTTGGCAGCAGGACAGAGCACCCAGCCTTTCCAAAGAGGCACAGGAGAAAACAAGGTCTCCTTTCTCTTGCTTGGCAAGTAGGAGCGTTGGCAGGGGCAGCAAAACCCTTGTGGATGTCTTAGGTTTGTCACTCATGACTTTTAATACTAAATTATGGTATGACAGGAACTTCTTTAGGCTACCCAAAGTATACAGCGGAAAGCAAATATCTTTCAGAAAATATGCCAGTATTTAGTATAAAATCCAGCAAAGTAGTTGGCACTGGCTATGAAAAACCCAGGGTTGGCTATGGAGTCTTTTGTTCATGTTTTCAAATATAACTTTTCTAGCTCATGAACAGGGACCCGTTTATCTCCAGGAAGAATCTACTTCTCATGTTTATTTAGAATCTACTTCTTAATGTTTTTCTTTAGGTTTAATCCTTCAGGACCCTGTTTAAACCCTGTTTAAAGCAAGTGCAAGATTTACCTAGGTTGCATTATCATGGTAACTACTAGCAGTTTTAACTCTACTGACACCAAGTCTATTTTCCAACTGGAATAGCCCTAACCTTTGACTTGGATGGAAAAGAAAAATTGGTTTTGACTGATCTGTTTTTTTAATTTCAGGGATAGTTGCTGTTCTCTTCTGTGGAGTCACACAAGCACATTATACCTACAACAATCTGTCTTCGGATTCCAAAATAAGAACTAAACAGGTAAAAGAAAAAATTTACTACAGACTTGGTCTCTTTTCTCAGTGAAATGGTTATGTAGCAATTCTGGCAGTATAGTCAGAAAGAGTTTCATTAGTAAAGGAAGAATGTAAGCTTAAGGCTTCATTACGAGTTGGATATTTATAGATTTTTTTCCCTCCAGGATAACCATTAACAATTCTCTTGGTAAGCAAAAATATAGTTATAATAGTCTCTCCCTCCTGAGAGATGTTGAACTTAGACTGTCAGTCTTAAAGATGAAAGGCATACAGTTGGTAATAATTCACAGTCACTTACATCTAAAAGCATTATAAGGCATGTGAGATTGTGTAGTTATAGAGAAAGAAGGAAATGAAGAAAAAGAAGGAAGTGAGGTTTGGTCTTTAATTGGGTGCTTTTGATGCCAAGCAAACTCAACTGCCAGTTGTCACACAAGCAGAATATATCTCCCTTATGCCAAGAACACATCTGTTTGGATATTTCCACATAAACACACAGATTCTTTCCACAGACATTTGCTGCACAGCCACTCTGCGCCAAGCACCATGCTAGCTACTAGGAATACAAGAACAGATAGTTTATGGCCCTGCCTTCAAGAGGTTCGTTATCAAGACTGTTTCTGAGGACACAGATGTGTCGCAAACAACTTGCCACAATTTTATAAGTATTGTCATAGAAATACGTCTATAGTGTGCATAAGGAGCTTTAGTAGGACATCACCCTACAGTTAGGATTGAGAAAGTCAGGAGAAAGTTTCCAGAGATGATGCCCAACCTGGAGCTTGAAATATAAATAGAAGTTAACTAGGTAAAGATCTGGGGTCTACTAGAGGGTAGAAGGTAGCCACAAGGGCATTTGAGGCCAAGGGATCAGCATGAACAATATCTCTTGAGCAGCCAGTGGAAGCTCTGTAAATAGTTCAGCATGGCTTGTGAATGGGGCAAGGCTAAAGCAAGTGGGATACAGTGACAGCAGAGACCAACTCATGAAATGACTTACGTATCTTGTGAAGGACTTTAGACTATAACCTATAGGTAATGGGGAGTGGCTTACATAACGGGAATGTATTGTCTTGGAGTTCTGGAGGCCAGAGTCTGAGATCAAGGTATTGGCAGGATAGCTCCTTTTGAGGGCTGTGGAGGAGAATCTGTTCTATCTCTCTCTCTCTTAGCCTCTGGAAGATTTCTGGAATCTTTAGTGTTCTTTGGCTTCTAGACACATCCACCCCAATCTCTGCCTTAGTGTTCATGTAGCATTCTCCCTGCATGCATGTCTACCACCAAATTTCCTCTTTTTGTAAGGACACGGGTCATATTGAGTTAGGGGCTACCATACTCTGGTATGACCTCATCTTAGCTGATTACATTTACAATGACTCCGTTTCCAAGTAAAGTCACATTTTGAGCTACTGGGGTTTAGGACTTCAACATATGAATTTTGGAGGAGCACAGTTCAGCCCATAACAAGAAGTCATTGAAGGGTCCTAGGCAAAATAATTTTAAGATCATTGTAGTTCCATTTTAGGAATATGACTCTGGGAGACATGAGGAACATAGACCAAACAGCACTTGTATCAGTTAGCTTTTGCTGTGTAACAACCACACAACCCTAGTGTCATCCAACAATAATCATTTATTGATCACATACCTGCAAGCTTCAGCCATTTTTATCGGGGTTGGACTGGGTGCATCAGCTTGTACCAGCTGAGCTTATGTATACGTCTGTTGATTTTTGGGGGGCTCTATTCTAAAGTAGGCTTGACTGGTGGGCTTTGCTAGGGCCACATGTTTGTCATTCTTCTCCTGATAGAAAAGAAAGCCCCAGTGTTGAAGAAGTTACATTTCCATACTGTGCTTGTATCATATCTCCTAAATATCTCATTGGTCAAGGAAAATTATATGGCATAGTCCAGAGTCCAGAGGCCAAGCTGATCCCTGACCACAGTGGGAGATCACTGCAAAGTTATATGGCAAAGAATGTGGACATAGGCAATGATGGAGAATTGGACTGAATGATGCAATCTAGCCCAAAATGCAAGTGGAGGCAGAGAGGTCTCTTATAATAAACATGGTGATGCTGAGGACATCTGATGTGATATTAGGGCAGTGGGAGTAGAGAAAGCAAAAGCAACCAAAGCAAAACCTGTAATTGACCAGAAATTCCTAAACAGGATTTCCTGAAAGCTTACTTTGAAGCCCTCCAGAATGAGCTATCACTTTCATCCCTCTTTGTCACATCCCAAGCTTGACTCTACCTCTACCTGCCCAGGGACTCTGCGAGGTCACCCTTCCCCTCTGCCTATCACTGCAAATGCCTCAGAAGAATCACAAGATGCAGTTACAGAAATCTTGAGGCCCCCTGAGTGAAACAAAAGAAAAAAGCCCCCCAAACAAAAACTGATACCAATATCCAGAAACCTCCAACATATAGTCTTTCAGAATCCTTTTAATTTTGAATACTACTAGCTTTCCCTAGGGCTTAAAGGGAAATGTCTTGGGCTGTTTTTTTCCTAACCTCTTTTTGGTTCTCTGAGCATATTTGTATTCTGGGAAGCTGAACCCTGTTTAGGGACTTGCACTTTTAAGTCATTCTATCTAGACTGCTCAGCAGAACTTCAAAGATAACGCATCTCATGGCATGACAGCAGCCCAGCATCTAGGGGAAACAAAGCCAAAATCAGTGCCCATAGCCTTCTGTTCTCCCTCTGAATGGCTTGAAAAGCCCTCCCTGACAGGTTGCCAGCATTCATTTTTACAGAATTCTCTTTTAAGGAAGGAGAATGTTACAAGTTCTTTCCTTAACATCTAGGTAACTGCATATCCCCATCTTTGTTCCCCACACTGCCTTTTTTTGGGGGTGCCTGGATCATAGCAGAAGCTTAATAAATGCTAATTCCCTTCCACTTCATTTTCATCCCTTTCTTCATTTCTTTTCTATCAGGATCTGTCATTTTCTGCTTATTTTTTTCTTATAATATGTACATACACAGCCTATGTACATATTTATACATACTTGCATATCTATGCATGCCTATACACATGCACATCCCATACTGTAGTAAACAGAGTCTAAGGTCCCCACTTTGAAAGAGTGCAGTCAGAGGCTCTTAGCCACACTACAGGCTCTGCACTAGTGTAACAAGCAGAGTTCAAATTCTCATGGGAAACGAATTACAAGTTGTAGAGAAATGCTGAGGCATGTACTAAAGAGGTTGCCACTGTGTCCCTTCTGAAACTGGGAAAGGTTTGGGAAGTATTATATGATGTTACATGGTTACAGTATCTTGCTCTACATATCCCCATGTTGTGTTCACACTGTCAACGGGAAGGTAGCAGTTACACAGCTGCTTTGCCTCTGTTGCCAGGACTGTTTAATGAGAGTGTAGGAAGCCAATTAGTAAACTCAGGGAAATCCATGTAAATCACCTTTGAGTTATAAAATTCAAAGATGACATGATTTACAAAATAGTTCTATTCAACTGTGTCTATACCAGTTAATCAAATAGCTATATCTGGATACAAAGGCTTTAGAGAATTATGCATTCTTTATAGCTTGAAGAATTAGAGTGCCTTTTTAAAGTTGTATTTTTTCATTTTAAGATATGTTTTGTCCATGATAATGACCCTTTAGATGTAGGAACTTCATTTTTGCTTCAACCTATGAAAACACATGTAACATCGCTATGTGTTAGGCAAAAAGCAGTATGACAGAGGCACTATGATGCTGTTACGCAACATAAGGATTTGTATTTTGAATACCAAAGCATCCTATTAAAGAGTATATGAACATATGCAGCAATTCATTTCCCTGGACTTGGAGTTCTTTGTTGCTTTAGGGTGTGCACATCAAGTCCTAGAGACAGACAGATACTGTAAGCCCTGTCTCTTTCCCTGGGAGCTGAGCAGTGCTAGGGATACTCAAGATGGACATCAGCACACAGCAGTGTAGCCCGGAGGTCTCACCCAGGGCCATCCAGAAGACTATGTACAGACCCCATGAACCCACTCAGATGATTTCCAGCCTTCCTCCTACCCCTTTCCTCCCACATTCCCTCACCACCCCCACCACCCCCAGACAGGCCTGGGAGCTTGCTATCTGCGCCAAACTCCAGGGTGTTCCCATCGGCTGTATTTACCTTGCCTGAGACTAACTTGCAAAACCATGTACTTCCATAGCATCCCTTTTAGTTAGAATTTCTCCTTCCCTTCACATGGTTGGCACCAAAAATTATTTCCAACAGATACACATGGGTAGATGAAATGAATGTAAATAATTACCATTTACTGTGCGTTAACATGTACAAAGTACTTATCTCATTTACTTTCTACTTACCTTTCTACCTAAGAGGTAACTCTCATTATCGCTGATTCCATTCATGCATTGAACAAATTTTTTTTGAGAGCCTACTTTGTGCCAGCCATTGCTCAAGGTACCGGGGATACAACAGTGAACAAAAAAAGAATTTCTAGTTGAGGAACTTCATAGTAGTCAAAATAAATAAGCAAAGTATATAGTGCACTCATGGTAAGACATAAGGCCAATAATAAAGCAGGGAAGAGTAGCTAGGAGTATATGATGGGAAGGCAGGCTTGTAATATTAGATTGGGTGTCCAGAAAAGGCCTCAGCAAGGTGATATTTGAAAAAAAGTAAAAGAGGGAGCCATGTGGACATTTGGGACAGAACTGTAGAGAAACTGGGAATGACAGGTACAGAGGCCCCCTGGGGCAGGAGAACCAATGTGGCTGGTATGGAGTGAACAAGGGAGAGTATGAGAGAAATAGCAGAGCAGTGAGAAGAGACAGGTCATGGAGAGCCCAAATGAGGTGGGGAAACACTTGAGACCTTTAAGTACAGGCATGTACGTACGTTTTAGAAGAATAGAAGTATCCGGTATTAGCTAGGGAAGACTGGAAGAGTAACAGGTTTGGGGGACAAATTATGAGCCCAGGGTTGACTTGTTAAGTTTGGGATGTGTATTAGTCAAAGTGGAGCTGTTGTGTAGCCAGTTGGACATAGAATTCTGGAGCTCAGAAGAGAGGTCTAGGAGAAAAATACAATTTTGAGAGTCATCAGCATATGACTAACATATAGAGATGATAATTGCATATCATATACAGATGATACTGAGAACATGGTACTGGATGAAATCTCTAAGACAGTGATAGAGAAGAGGTCCAAAGACCAATCTAAGGTACTCCAATGTTAAGAAATCCAAAATCAGCAAATGAGCCTGAAAGGTAATAAACATTAGGGAAAAGAAAAGCAAAGTATGGCGTCCTAGAAGTCAAAAGAAGAGTGTCTCAAGGAGCATAATGAATTATACCAAATGCTGCTGAAATTTCAAGTAAGATGAAGAAAATGAACATCACTGATGACAGTGATAAGAACAATGTTGGCAGAAAACCTGAATAGAATGGGTTCAAGGTAGAATAAGAGGAAAGAAATTGGAAACCTCCTGTATCAACAAGTCCTTCAACGGAGTTTTGCTGAAGGGCAGCAGAGAAATGAGGTGATCGCTGGAGGAAGAAGTAGGACCAAAGAAAATATCTTTTTATTTTTAAGGTAGGAGAAATAACAGTGCTTGTTTATGTTAAGGAGATGAAACAGTAAAGAAAAAAATGATGTATTAGAGTTTTTTCTAGGCTTATAAGTAGCAGATTTCAAACTCAGATGTTTTACTTTGTGGTTCAAACTATGTTGCCTCTTACTAAATATCATTTGGTTAGTAGATGGGATAGCACCAATTGTGGGGTATCATTTATTCAGTAAACCTTGAATGGGTGGAAGGAAAAACAAATGGATGTTTGGCCGTATTTATTATACTTTCAGCCAATTCAGATAATTAGTCATTTACTTTATATAGTATTTGATTCTGCTCTTTTTGAAAATCTACCTATTTCAGTACATTTTAATTTTTTATACAAATACAAGTTGGGATGGACATAGATGTTTTCATGTATTTGCTTTTGAAAAGCCAGATTCTTTGTCTAGCATTTATGGGCAAACAATGACATCTTCATTATAGCACATTCTTTCCAGATGCTTATTTTATTTCCATTCCCCCCAGATGATATTTATAGTGTTTATCGCCATTGAATGGAAAAGCAGCAATGCAAATCCAAATTTAAATTTCCAATAAAAGAAGACAGTGGGAGCCAAATTATATGTTCTGTGCATGACTCTGAAAATTCAAATAAAGGATCTGGAATATGGGAGCAGCAAGATATAGTGGAAAGGACACTTGGCTGAAAGTCTAGAAAACTGGGTCTTGCCCCCATCCTCTAGTACTCATGGTAGGGCCTCAGATAATTAATTTAACACACATGAGCTTTACTTTTTCCATCTGTAAAATGAATGATTGAACTAAATGACTGGGTTTTAAGGATCATGCTCTAGATCTAATATTCTTTTACTTGACATGGAGCATAACGTATGTGTCTGGTTCTTTCTCTTAGACTACAGTTGAGTAGGGATCACTTGATTAAAGACTGCAATGCATACAGATGAGAGGAGGAATTAGAGTTTGCCATTTAACTTGAGGCCAAATCACTGGGTACACCATTTCAAGAAGTTGTCAAAGCAAATCCAAGGATGAGGCAATCAAAAACCAAAGTCCCTGGTTCATACTGGAGTGAAAAGTTTCATACTGAGGGCTGAATGCTTCTTCCTGGAAAAACTCTCAGCTCCTAAGTGAGTGGTTGTGATGGCTTTTCCTAAGACTGCCTGCATCCTTAGGGTAGAGAGTAGAAACCTTATATTGCTACAACTCAGCATCTCAGGATATGACTGAAGACCTTACAGCTTTTGAATTCAAATATGGACTAATTGTGTTCTAAGAACTACAGTAGTTGCATGGTTGGCACCATGCTGGAAGCCAGGGAGACAAGGGCAAATACCACGTGGTTCTTGTCCTTTGGAGGTCCTAATATAGCAGAAGACATACACATGCACACAAACATACATATGCATATGCATGCATGCACTCACATGCACAAACAACCACATGTGGCAGATATTAACATGGAGGGATGCACAACATGTCATGGAAACCAGAGAACTGAATTGCTTACTGGAGGCAAGGTTTTCATGAGAAGCTGGTTTTTGGGTTGGGTGTTTTGGAGTTTGGGTGTAGAGTTAATTAGGATATTGTCACGCAGATTTCATGGAGGATAAAATCAAAAAGAATAGAGTATGCAAAAATATAAAACTAAGAAAGAGCTTGGAAGCAATCCTAAACAAAAAGAACAAAGCTGGAGGCATGAAGTTACCCAAATTGAAACCATACTATAAGGCTACAGTAACCGAAACAGTATTGTACCAGTACAAAAATGGACACATAGGGCAATAAAACAGAATAGAGAACCCGGAAATAAAGCTGCACACCTACTACACCCATCTGGTCTTTGACACAGGCAACAAAAAAAAGCAATGGGGAAGAATCCCTGTTCAATAAATGGTGCTGGGAGAGCTGACTTGCCACATGCGGAAGAATGAAACTGGACCCCTACCTTTCACCATACACAAAAACTAACTTAAGATGGATTAAAGACTTAAATGTAGGACCTTAAACTATAAAATCCCTAAAAGAAAACCTAGAAAATATTATTCTGGACATCAGTTTTGGGAAAGGATTTGTGACTAAGTCCTCAAAAGCAATTACAACAAAAACAAAAACTGACAAGTGGGACCTAATTAAGCCGAAGAGCTTCTGCACAGCAAAAGAAACTATCAACAAAGTAAACAGACAACCTACATAATGGGAGAAAATATTCACACACTATGCATTAGACAAAGATCTAATACTAGAATCTATAAGAAACTTAAACAACTAAATGAGCAAAAAAACAACCCCATAAAAATTGGGCAAAGGGCACTTTGGAAGGCCGAGGCGGGCGGATCACGAGGTCAGGAGATCGAGACCATCCTGGCTAACACAGTGAAACCCCGTCTCTACTAAAAATACAAAAAAATTAGCCGAGCGTGGTGGCAGGCGCCTATAGTCCCAGCTACTTGGGAGGCTGAGACAGGAGAATGGCATGAACCCAGGAGGCGGAGCTTGCAGTGAACCGAGATCGCACCACTGCACTCCAGCCTGGGCGACAGAGCGAGCCTCCGTCTCAAAAACAAAAAGAAAAGAAAAAGAAAAAGAAAATTGGACAAAGGACCAAAGGACATGAACAGACACTTCTCAAAAGAAAACATACAAGTGGCCAAGAAACATATGAGAAAATGCTCAACATCACTAATTATCAGAGAAGTGCAAATCAAAACCATAATTAGATATTATCTTACACCAGTCAGAATGGCTCTTTTAAAAAAGCAGATGCTAGTGAGGCTGTAGAGAAAAAGAGAACTCATACACTGCTGATGGGAATGTAAATTAGTTCAGCCACCATGGAAAGCAGTTTAGAGATTTTTCAAAGAACTTAAAACAGGGCTACCATTTGACCCAGCAATTTCATTACTTGGTATATATCCAAAGGAAAATTAGTCTATGAAAAATCATGCATTCATATGTTCTGCAGCACTATTCATAATAAGAAAGACATGGAATCAATCTAGGTGTCCATCAACAGTGGACTGGATAAAGAAAATGTGGTACATATACACCACAGAATACTACACATCCATACAGAAGAATGAAATCATGTGCTTTGCAGCAACATGGATGCAGCTGGAGGCCATTATCCTAAGCAAATTAACACAGGAACAGAAAACCAAATACCACATGTTCTCATCTGTAAATGGGAGATAAACGTTGGGCACTCATGGACATAAAGATGGCAACAGTAGACACTAAGAGCTACTAGAAGGCAGGGAGGGAAAGTGTAAGGGTTGACAATACAACTACTGTGTACTATGCTCACTACCTAGGTGACAGGATCAGCCGTACCCCTAACTTCAGCATCATGCAATATGCCATGTAACAAAAGTACACGTGTAGTCCTTCAATCTAAAATAAAAATAGAAGAAAAAAAAAAAAAGCTTGACAAGTCCCAGAAACAGAGGTAACACACTGTGACTAGGTCCCAGGTTGCCTCAGAGAAATAGTTAGGGGTGGGCCGCTGGTATAGGTTAGGGGGCACTGAAGGGAAGCGTGTGGAAGACAGCTGAGAATGAAAAAGGAAAGGTAAGTCCAGATGAACATTTTACTGTCCCAGTATGCTCCCCTTGGAAGAATTCTATCCTATAAGGGTAATAATTGGTTAAGCCTTTTAGGCATAGAGATAATGATAATAATCAGATTTCTGTCTTACAAAGATAACCATGATAGCATCATTGAGGAAAAACTGGACAATTCATAGTATTTTTGTCTCTATTAGTGGTTTTAAGGGTTAGTTATGAGAAAACATGGTAAGTGACTTCCAGGACATCAGTCTTAACACTCACCACACTTCTTTTTAGTAAACTCTGTACATATGTAACATCTAAATTTATCTTAACCTTCTGTGACTCCAGACATATTTTTGTCCTGTTTAACCTCTTAGGATATTGTGGTCTATATGAAAAGTTTATGGAAATTTACTGTCTGATTTTGCCTTGAACTTAGGAGCTAGATAAATTCTTTCTGAATTAATAAATTAATGAGTGAATGAATTATGACCATTAACATTCCAAGATAAAAAATAGAGAAGAGAATATATGCTAATTAATGGTTTTATTTAGTTCTGATATGATGCATTAATTTAAATTTAATGAGTTGGATGCGTAAGGCAAATGTCTAGGGTAATCTTGATATATTGAAAGAAAGATGAAGTACAATTCCATTACTTGCGTGTTTCCTGCAGTGTGTCCATGCCTTATTGATTTGCATTACAGTGGGTTTTTGATTTGGTTTTGTGCATTTTTTTCTATTTCTTTTAACAAAAGCAGTCACTTTCCATCCCAGTTACCTGTTCCAAGGCACAGTGGAGAGAGAATGTCATGGGCAACAATGCCTCTGCCTCCCTGGCTTCCGAGAAGATCAAAGATATCTTCATAAAGCATAGAATTGCCTTTTTTTATTACTCTAATTACATTTCTTTTGTAAAGAGTTCTACCACTTTTCTTCTCTCCGTCATTCAAAATATCTTTAAAAATACCATCCTAGAAGGGTTGAATTTATAAATGATGGCAAAGTGTTTAAATTTCTCCTTAGCTAAGCTGGTGATTCTTTTCAATGAAACTCATTATATTGTATAAAGGACATTTAGTAGTTCAGCTAATATGTGTTTCCTTTTAAATGCTAATGATAGTGGAGCTCCCACATCATGGCAAGAACACCTTGTACTTTCAGTGCCCAGAAAGAATTATTTCCCTACTTGAGAAGCCTTTACTCCACGACCAACATATATTATAGTAGGAGCCACAGATAAATATTTGGCACCTTCAATAGTGGGTACCTTCTATGTCCTGGGTACTGGGACCCAGGGAGAAATAAAGATAAGTAAGACATCCATGTTTCTCCTTGAAAATATTTTATGTAAATTTTTTATCTGACAAAGCTGTAGTTGGACTATAACTTCTCAGTTAAATCTGTCCTACTCTCTCACCCACAAATCTGTTTATCATAGCATATAATTGCAGTTGGAAATTTTAAGTCATGAAATCAAAGAAGTTCAGAGCTAAGGGAAACTATAAACTTTTGAACCCAGAATTTTATTGGAGGAAACTGAAACCCAGGGAAATTCAATGACTTCAAGGGCTTGGACCAGTTTTCCAACCCAGGGTCAACCTGGACATGGGTCATTGCTCAAGGGATATGCACTGTCAATTAAAAATACACAGCACCTGCCTCTAAAAACATTTGGTATATTTGTTATATATTGCTGTGTAACAAATTACTCCCAAATTTAGCAGCTTTAAACAACAAACTTGTATTATTATTTCGTATAGTTTGTGAAGTCCTGGAATCCAGGAGTATCAGCTTTGCTGGGTGGCTTTGGCTCAGGGTCTCGTGAGGTTGCTGACAAATTGTTGATCAGGGCTTCCGTGTCTCAAGGTTTGGCTGGGGCTAGAGAATTCTCTCCAAGAGCCTCATTTACGTGGCTGTTGGCAGAAGACCTCAGTTCTTCCACCTGTGTCCTCCATCGGGCTGCTTGGGTGTCCTCGTGATGTGAAAGCTTACTTTGCCCAGAGCAAGTGAAACCAGAGAGAGCAAAAAGACAGAAGCAATGGTTCTGATTAACTAGTCTCTAAAGTTGTTTACTGTCATTTCTGCCATATTCTATTTGTTAGAATCGATTCCGTAAAATTGGACCATGAGCAATGGGAGGGGATTAATTCATTTACATTTTGAAGTGGTGGTGGGGGAAGGGGTGTCAAATAATTTGTGGACATTTTAAAGTACCAGGAGACCCAATGCCATTTTTGGAAGAAATTGTTTGATAGTGCTTTTAATTTCGTATATGGTTGAATATTTAGGTTTTCTGCTTCTTCATTCAATTTTAGCCATATCCATTTTCTTAGTAAACCATCTATCCTACCCAGGTTTTAAAAAATTTAGTATCAACAATTGTTGAACACTATAATGTGTCAGGCACTGAACATATATGTTTCATATAAGTTATTCTTATTAATGTTCACATAAAATCTACAAGGTGAAGACTATTATTAATCAGATTTTATAGTCTTAGAGAAGTTAAGGCCACACAAAGAATAGAGTAGTGCATCACAACTCGTTGTTTTTAATGTCCTTTGTATGTATTTGAGTATAGACCTTTTCTTACAGAAAATTGCATGCATGTATTTTCCCCTTTTATTAAATTTATGAAACTTTACACGTGATCCTGATCATTTTCAATTTATTTATGCATTCTATTGTTTTATCCTTTTATCACTAATCCATTCTTCTTCCTCTCCTTGGGCTTTCTGTTTTTCTTCCCTGTCCCCTTAACAGAGGATGATGAAGGGAACTCCGTTCCTGCAGATCACCACTCTCCTCCATTTTTTTATTTCCCTGCTTTACTACAACCCTGAGAGGGCCTTAATAGGTAGAGCCAAGAATAGTCTTTTCTTTTTTCACCAAAATATTGGTGCTGTCTCATCATCTATCCTGTTCACCTATTTATCTTATGACAGATATTATTCTGTTTTGCCTCTGCTGGCTTGCTTTCTTCAGGATTCATCAGCATTCTACATAACTAAGAGTACTTGAACAATGTTATTGTTGTTTTATTCTGCTTCTTTATCACCATCATAAAAGGCTCTGTATCAGAGTCACCTCCCAAGACTATCTCTACCCAATAGGCAATGTCTTGGTGGCACATACTAATTTACCTTTAAATGTCTTACTAACAAGTCTCCAAAATCTTCCCTTAATTTTTCTTTCTCATCCCCACCAAGCCCTAAGAAAGTATACTTACCTCATTTAGCCTTTTCTAAATATTAATTTTCTTTATTATATTTTCCCCCAAATCATGGTTTTGTATTCTTTCTCACTATGTAGAGCCCCAACTCCTTAAAAAGATAGTGCTCACTTGCACACTCTCTCTCTCTCTCTCTCTCTTAATTTTTCACTTTTAGAAAACAAAAACTACCATCATCAAAGCTTGGATATCAACATATAAATTTCATGTCCTTCTATGTATGGATCTGATTCAATGCATAATGGAAAATTTTATATGAATGGAATTTAGGAGATCAGCTGGCCTGGTACCTGCTTTGATAACACTCAAGACAGATGGTCGCCCACTATTACCTTAAAATTTCTAAGGATGGCAATGGCATAACCCCCTTTAATAGCCCATTACAGTTTTATCATCCTGTTTGATAGGTGTAAGTATGAAGGGCTTCAGTCTCATAATGGCATTTTAGAATGATAAATGGAAATTACTGTAATTTTTCTACTTATTTCAATTAAATTTTATTGATGCAATGCAGAAAACATCAAGGCTGAATATGTGTGCCTGAGCATGTGTTTGTTAAAGAATGTTGCCAAATTTAAGGATGCCATTTCCTTAATAATCTTGAAAGATGCAGCAAATGTATTTAATAAAACGTTAAGTCTTTGTGCAATTCCTTCAGAAAAGAAATTGAATTGCTTCTGGAGGCACAGCTCAAAAATCCAAAGAATCCTATCAGTGGAGATATGATATATAACTCCTAATAAAGTACCCGAGAGGGAAATCTAACAAGTGAGAACAAGAGTTTGGTTTTAGGAGAGTCACTTAATACAATTGCTCTGGGTTACATTGAAAAAGGACTTGATTGGAATCAGCTGTGACCAATCTCTTCTTAAGGGAGAATAAACTGTTATGATAGACCTGCCTCAACAGTGAATACCTAGGTAACAAACTATTACTGTTGTATTTTTCCACTGGTTCTAACTGTTAAAAAAAAAATCTCTGCTTTAAAACAGGTTTCTTTTCCTTGTTTGTGCTGTGCCTTGCTTTGTTCAAATTAAATTTTCAAGAACAAACAGGAAGGGAAAAGATCCCTGTTGAAAAATAAAGGAATGCTTCTGTTAGGAAAGAATGTCTAACCTTGCCTTAGTCACTGTAAGTATATGAATTCACACAGTTCTTTTCCCCTAGAGATCTGTGAAAACATGATCATTGAGACTCACATCTGGAGAAAGTGTGATTTGGGGTTTCCAGGACAATTGCTTCATACCCTAGCCCTTGACTTGCTTTCTCTTTCTGAAGATGTTGCTCTGATTATAGTATGGGGGCCTATAACGTAGGGCCGGGATAGAAGATCTCTTGGCCAACTAGAAACAGACAGGCACACAGAGATCAGAGCTAGCACTTGGAATGAGTCCTGGCAGAGTTTCAGTATTCTGAATTCTGACACACCAGGTTTCTGGATGGTTAATGTGAAGTTCTGTGACTAGTGCCGAGGTCTTCCCTAGGGCCACAAAAGAAATTATGTTTTAACTTTTTATGTCCTTATTCAGGTGTTCTTAAATGGTGGTCTGCAGGCTGGTGTCATAGTGATCCATTATTACGACACTGCCTGTATTCATTTCTGGCATAACTTAATAATTTGCAGTATCCCCTAGGGAAAACACTACTATTCTTCCCCTTTGTACTGATTTATTGTTTGGGTTTTGGCTTGCTCTTATAGTACCAAGTTGAGGTCTATAGGGGTCTTTTGCTTCATCCAAGCATACTAGAGACTAAAAGAGTTTGAGACAATCTAACCTTCCAGGGAAAAAATATAGTCTGATTTAAGGGAACATTTTCTTCCTCATTTGACCCTGCCAAATGTTTCATGTAATTTCTGGGCTGTTTGTAGGACTTGGATATACTGGCCTGTAGAATAAGGCAACATCACTCTTTAAGGATATTCCCTATGTTCTAGGCAGAAAACACTTTATTATAGGTTCCAGAATGTTCATGGACCTAAGGCCTAGGCAACCCAAAAGAAGGAATTTGGATTTCATCCATAATTGGGATTTAGACATGTAGTGATATATGTGTGAAAAGAAGCTAATGAAAGAAGTCAGACACAGGAAAAGATAACTAAACCTTTAAGAGGAAAATTCCTATAAATGGAAAGGAGTTTGATGTAGCCTGAGGGCCAGCATCCTGTTGTGGGACACTGTGAGAATGAAGCTGGCCCTCCCAACCCACCTGCCTGCTGGTATGCTTGCACTCTGAGAAAGGGAGGCACTAAATGGTAAAGTTTCGGGGGGAGTAAATTGTTTCCCTGGGAACACAAGTGACCCTGCTGGAGCCCACCCCATCCCCGGAATGCTGAGATGTAAACTTGAAAGAATTTGAGTGGATGCTCAACTCTAAGGGACCATCTCTGAAAGAACTGAACACATAAAAATGAAGTACCTTCCTGCTAATTGAAGAGAAATAAGTAGCCAAGACAGACAGTCAAAGATGGAGCTTAAGCTGCCAGAGGCAGAAAACATAGCAGATACTCTAAGGAGTGAGGCAGTCCTGAAATTGCAGGTGGCAGGTGGCAGCAGAGTGGGCAGCAGTGGGGAGGGAGCACAGGCTGCAGTTGGAACCCAGCAAGGGCAGGTTGGTGCAGGCAGCTGAGGGATGGGCAGCTCCAGGCTCTGACAACACATGCCACCCAGCTCCCTCCTCTTGGAAACTCCCAGAGCAGTAATGCTCAATCCTGGGTGCATGTTAGAATTTTTTACAAGTCCCAGATACCCGGGCTCCATGCCCAGGATTTCTAATTTATTTAGTCTGGAGTGGGACCTCAGCTGCAGTATTTTAAACTCTACCTAAGTGATTCTAAAGAGTGGCCAGAGTTGAGCATCTAGAAAGACACCAGATGCTGGACACCAGATGCTGAGGTCCTGTCATTTTGCAGGTGTGGTTTTGGATTCAGCAGATCAGAGCCAAACTGTCCAAGTGAGTTCAAGGGGAAACCACATGCTGATAGGCTTGGGACTTGGGACTCTAGAGAGTTTAAAAAATCTTGCTGGCCAGTGGCTCCCCCAGAGATTCTGATGCAATTGGCAGGAGGTGCAGCGTGGGCAGCAGGATTGTTTCCAGCTTCCCAGATGGTTCTAATATGCAGCAGCGCTTGAGAACCAGTGACCTAGGGCACAGTAATGTCACTCATGAAGATCCCTTTGGGGAGTCCTGTAAATATTTAAGAGAAAAGAAAACTCTGCAAGGGATTTTATATTCTGTGTGAGTAGGTGGAGACTTAGAACTATCAAGATTTGGCTATTTGTATAAGTACATTTATATTCACAGGCAGGGTGTTTCTAAGACATTACCCAAATAAGTATTCCCACAGTTCTCAGATATGGGAAGGCAGTCCCACAGTCAAAACCAAAAAGAACAATTGTCAAGCTCCCTTCTACAGTGACTTGCTTGCCTGCCTGAAGCTCACAAATGGAGGTTTCACTTTAAGATGCACAGATTCATTGTAGTAATCGCAGCATGTAAAACTGTTAGGCTACATTAAAAAATGGGAATCTACTTTCACTTCTTTGATTTTAAACTTAGTAAAATACAAATTTGGTTAATATTTATGGACTAATAGGTGCCAGTTAGTGAAAATTAGTACCTTTGACCCTCACAATAACCAGCGGGCTATTATTGGCAACTATTTTACTGAGGAGGAAGCTGGGATGGAGAGAGAATAAGTAATTTACATGGGTCTACACAAGTAAACATGGGTGGGAAAATGGGACTGGAACTGATTCCAAGTCCAGTTCTTTACCCACCTCACCCAGCTGCTTTTCTTTCATCTCTATTGAGTCAAAAGTAACCTCCAGCTTACCTCTCACTTTCCAGTTTCAGTTTCATATAGTAATTTACATATGATGCATTTCATGAAACACATCTGGAAAGTTACTAGGTATAGAATCTATAGGAACCTTTGCTATCTATTCTATTATGCCATAGATAATTCTAGAAAACAGTAAAATTTCTTCACTTTTTCCCCACCTACAATTATTTGGCGCCCCAATGAGTAGTATCTTCTCAGTGTCAATTCTCTGGAGGTTTAAGAGACTGTAATGAAATCTCATCAGCTGTGTTTCTAATTAGCATTCTCTACCATGTGTGAATTAGGAGAAAACTCATCTTGTCTATTTCTTAGAAACTATGGCTAAGGTACACTTTGATAATGTTCAGGACTGTGTATGGGTGGAACATTTTATATATAATGGAGTAAATATGTAAAGAAGAATCAAATGTGTATTTAAAGTTATAATCTATGTGAAAATATTATTATATATATTTGGGTTACGAATTGTAGAATCTTTAACATTCTCAAGAGCATTCATCTTAGAATACCTTATTCTACTACCAAATCCCTTCCCCAGTGAAAAGCACCTTTGTATCTTAAGTCGAAAGTACTGTAAAATCTCTTATCACCATAAGGAACATATTAAACTCGTTGGTAATAGATAAAGAAAATCCTATTTCCAAAAGTGCATTTTGCTGCTTAATATTAAGCAAGTTACACAATGTTTTCCAAAGTTAAACAAACAAAAAATAAAGAAAGTAAATTTACTGATAATGTTCAACTGGACATTAAAATATACTGCTCTGATATCGTTGTCAGAAAGCAAAAAGATATGACCTGACTCGTTTTTAGCTTTTAACATGTATCTTTCTGTTCAGAAACATTATATACTAGTGGATTTTGTGATATAGAAAATATTCCAACTTTCATGAAAGAACTCTAAAGTGTTTTAACCTGTCTTTAAGACTTGCTCCAGTCTGTCTATTCTTCAGTAGCTTAATTTTACTTCGACTTGAATATGCCTTCTCAGTGCTTTTAAGTTATTCTTTCCTGAATGTTTTCTTTAGTCAAGGATTATGATTTAAGTGGTAACATATAGGAATTAGGTACCAGATCTCCTTTTAAAAGAAGAATGGTTTAATTTCTGTTGTCCACCCAAACATGTATATGATTCATGTGATCAAAGTTACTTTTTCTATCACTTTTTTTAAGGCCTCAACCTTGGAATTCTATTTGGGAGAAAAAAATGCTTGATTTTAAATTGCATCAAAAGCTTCAGCTTATGCCACAGAGTACAAAAAAGTGACTGTTTTTAAGGTTTTTTCTAAAGCAAAATGTTAGGTGTATAGTTTCCCAATGACTTCAGTAAGTGTTGCAATTTAAAGAAAATCTCAAGCCAAACTGAATGTATTTATCCAAATACATCTTTTTGATCCCGCTATTCAGCATCCCAACTTGTTGACCAGAGTTTCCAGACATCAAGCCTAGCACCCACTTGGGTCATTAAGAAATTATTAAATCTGCCCTGTTGGTCAGCACATGGGGCGCAGGTAGGTGCCAGGACCCCAGCTCTGCCCTTCTGACACTTCCTGGGAGTAAACCCAAACCTTGTGTATCAAAATGCCCTGAAGCTTAACATCAGCCAGTGGTCTGCCTGCTAAAAAAAAATCCCACCATCTGTATCCAAGCAGCATCATTGCCTGACCCTGGAGAGTAGCAGTTCCAGAGCTCTGGGTGAGGCATCTAATGCAGTGAGCTCCAGGAGAGAGCAATTAGCACAGGAATGAATGTCAGACTTCTGGGCAGCCATTTTGAGGAAACCAGTATAAAATATTCACATTGTACAGGCCATCAAACTTCATGGTCACACTTTTTTAACTTTGACCTAGGTGAACAGAGAATTGATTTGATTTGTAGCTTTGCTGGGTAGAAGTTACACATTATTTAAAATCATTTTAGAATTTATTTTCAAATTTCAAAAAGCACCAAAGCATCCTTTTTTATATTCCTTTGACTTCCAGATTTGCCTGATTCATGAAACATTATTATCTTTTAATTAATATAATTACTATAAACTGGTCTTGAGTTTCAAAGTATCATCTAATAACTGGATTAATTTTCAATGTATAAAATGTGGGCTTTCTTCCCATAAACAGTTTTTAAGTGAAATATGGGCAAGGTGATTATTATACCCACTTTTTACCATATGAAATCTTTAATAAAAGCATTTGCCATAGCTTTGTAAATTATTCCAACTTGCAAGATATGACTCAATTTATTCATGGATGCTTATGTTAGAAACTGCATTATATTTTAGACAACAGGTTAGGTGGACTAAACCTAGAAATGTATTGCATTGTAGGAGATATCTACATTATTATTTTCTGAAAAATGTGCATAGAGCTTTTCATAAATGTTCCCCTCATTAACAAAGAAATGCCATTTCACTTTAACTACAAAGACCTTTCCCTGACAGAGGCATTTGCAACAATGGCCTATTTAAATTCTTTCTCTCTCTTTCTCAGACACATTTTTAAAAATACCCTTACCTCCAAATGATTCTGATATATGATATCTAAAGATGTAGGGTTTTTTTATGGTTATGCATCAGTAACACAACAAAGGTCAGCTTTGCTGTGTTTCACATATGGTATGCTCATGTGTCTGACTACTTCATCTGTGTGGCCTCACTTATTGCATTTTTCCAAATTTTTGTGTCTTCATCTTTTTTGGAGCCTCTTCTGCTTTGGATCTATGACTTCTGGAATTATTAATACCTGGCCTAATGCCTACCAGAAGTCAAAGGATACAAATATTGAATTATCCTGTGTGTCTTGAGGTCAGTCTTCATAGAACCTCAGCATCTGGGAATTAAGGCAAGTAGGAGGACAAGCACTAGATGTGGAAGACCTGGGTTCTCAGCCTGGGTCTGCTCGTGTATTTGTGGTATGTCCTGGAGCAAGGCCCCCAGGTCGCTGTGAGCCAGGGCATGTCAGCCCCACGAGAGCAGGGACTTGGTCTGGTTTGTTCACAGCTATATTGCAGTGTCTAGAAATGTGCCCAGCACATGTAGGTCATCACTTTTTATTTGTGGGTGAATAAATGAGTTGCAATGTTCTCTGTACAGGCCTGGGCCCACATGGGCAGTTAGTGAAAACCTCCATGGGCCCTGCTCCCCTTGGGGCCCACACAACACAGGATTAAGTTCTCTGAGGGGAGTAACAGGGTTCTCTGGGGCTATATAACAAAGGACCCCAATAGAGAAGTCCTTGAGAAGAGACTCTTCAGCTGAGACCTAAAGAATAATTAGGTGTGAACAGGCAAAAGGCGTTGGCAAGAATGAGAGCATTGCAGGCAGAGGCCTCATCACAGGGGAGATCCTGGGTCACTTGAGGGACTGAAGGGCCCTAGCATCCCTAAAGTGATTATCTAAGTGAGATATGTACCAGAATGAGTGGAAATATCATTAAATCATAGAGTTATAGGGCTGGAAGAAATCCCATTACTCAAACTAGCCCATGTCGGCTACATTTTACCGTTTGAAAACTGAGGACCAGAGGTCTCTGAGCAAGTTCTGAACCTTAAAATGAGGGTTTTTTTCCTTTTTATATTCGAGTTTCATGATTTTTATAAAAATTCGTGGTACAAAAGCTTGTAAAGTAAAATTTAAGTTTCCCCACTCAAGAAGTAACTGCTGTATTAGAGACTGGTGTATATCTTTTTAGAAGTATATATCCATTGATATTTTTAAACAAAAAAAGTGATTATACTATAATTGGTAGTTGTCAAGCTTTTTGATAACAGGACCTCTTTACACTTCTAGAAACTATTGAGGCCCCAAAGAGTTTTTGTTTGTATGAATTATATCCAGTAGTGTGCTGGAGCCAGCTGGAACCAGCTCTCTACACCAGGTTCAGTGGTAGCTTGAAATCTGCCATCGTGGGAATATTTACATCATGGAATCAGCTTGCACTACAAATCAGGGCTCTCCCTGTCCCCCCAGAGAGCCAGTTGTTAAACATCTAGCAGCATACCACTGATTACATGTATCAATGTTTATCATATTAGACACTTAAAATGAGGATTTTAGAAATATTTAGTAATTTATTTTAAAATAATGATAAATCCATTGCATGTTAACATAAATCACACTTTCTATTTTTGCAAATTTCTTTTATTTCTGGTTTAATGGAAGGCAGCTGGATTATCAGATTTGCTTCTGCATTCAATCAGTTGTGATTATCACGCATTATGTAGCCTCTGGAAACCTCCATTGTATCCTCAGGATAGAATGAGAATGAACAAATCAAAGGATGTCTTAGTAACAGTCTGAAAATCATGTTAACTTCATGAGCTACCTGTAAGAGTCTCAGGGAGTCTCAGAGGTCAATAAGTCATACTTTGAGAACCGTCCCTACACGTAAGTTTATTTCTGTTTACTTTTTACCTTATTGTTTTGTTTTTAGCTTTTTAAACTTACTATGTCATAGGCCATGATATTGTTCTCTTTCATTAAAATGAGATTCATACATGTTAAATAACAATTACCTAGATTATTTGGTCTTATTTTTCCTAATGTTTCTCTTAATTTACACCCACATATTGTATTATACAACAAGAAAGAGGAAATGAGAAGGAACTCAGTGAAGATTTGTGTAGACTGCCTTCTTCCTAAAGGTTTTTAAGACAAACTTCCTATACATTATGTCTTATTTGATTTAGTGCTGCTTCCAGCAGGAAGATGTACTCTGTGATGGCTCATGGTTTTAGCTTCTTCTCTCCCTCATGTGAATCTCTGTCTCCAAAGACATGAAAAGATGCCCTACCACTGTTCTGAGATGAACTCAAATAAATAAAATTCAGCTCTATTCACCAGGGTCTCTAGAGGCTTATAAATGAAGATCAGGATAAAGGAAATTTGGGGATGTGGTTTGCTTTCCTTGCCAGGGGAGCATTTGAAATCTCAAGAGCTAAGTAAGGCCAAAATGCTCAAGCGGAGGCATGAGTTGATGTATCAGATTCACTCATAAATGGGGATAATGATAGCTTCTATTTCATGGCACCAGAATCTATAAAAGTACTCACCAAATAGCTGTTGTTGAATGAATAGTGTTGTAAAGATTAAATTAGTTTTCATGCATTAGTTTTTACAAAATGTTTGTGGCTCATAATGAGCACTATATGCATGTTAGGTTTTGTTTCAGTTATTTTGTTGTGTTTTTTCTGAGTGCTGGAATTAGGACTCATAATTATATCTCGCAGTTCAAGCTTCTTATCTATAATGGGATTATTTTATTCTATGAACTAAAACATAAAATGCTAAAAGGAGGTAAGTTGACAGAGGCAAATCCTGAATCACATTATGGCAATTTTTCAATGAATTCAGTTAGAGTAGCCACCAATATGACACTGGTTAAATCAGAAACTCCCATCTTGACAGAACAGTGAGAAGCCAGATCCAACCCTTATCAGTTGTCTGATTTTGTCTCCTTTTTCTTCATGTTGCAAAAACTATTTGAATAGTGTTTTTGGTTTTTGTTTGTTTGTTTGTTTGTTTTGTTTTGTTTTGTTTTTCAGATTTCTGATGGACTTGAGATAATGCATGCACACTTTTCCATTTGGTCAAGGTTTTTCCTTACTAACTGTATTAGTCTGTTTTCACGCTGCTGATAAAGACATACCCAACACTGGGTAATTTATAATAAAGGAAAAGAGGTTTAATGGACTCACAGCTCTGCGTGGCTAGGGAGGCCTCACAATCATGGCAGAAGGCAAAAGGCAAGTCTTACACTGTGGCAAGCAGGAGAGAGAATGATAGCCAAGCGAAAGGGGTTTCCCTTTATAAAACCATCAGTTCTCGTGAGACTTATTCACTACCAGGAGAACAGTATGGGGGAAACAGCCCCCATGATTCAATTATCTCTCACCGGGTCCCCCCCACAATATGTGGGAATCATGGGAGCTTCAATACAAGATGAGATTTGTGTGGGGACACAGCCAAACTCTCTCACTAACTTAGTAATTATCACTTGAATATTTTATTAGGCATGATAATTCATTTGCTTATAGCCACTTGTTAGCCACAGCCCTCTAAACTCAAAGCCAGGTATCCCTTCCCTTCCCTCAGTACAGTGCATGCTACAACGTCAATAGCTTCAACAAGCCAAACCTAAAACTGGATGGTAGGCTGCTTTCCCAGGGTTCTAATAACAGGTGGTGCACGGGTTAGACTCCAGGCAAGCACAACCCCAGTTTCCTCATTCTCATTCTTCCGTCCTAGAGTCATAGGAGTGGCTTCTGTTCTGCTCATCTGAAATTCAGAAACAAAATAGGGCACTCCTTTGATAGACTTTTTATTTGCTAAATTTACTGGAAATACAGCATCAGATACAGTGTCCAATCTTCCTAGTCTTCCATTTTTCAATTCTTCTCTTTTCGGTGTACATATCAATGACTTTATAAAATATGAATAAGTACTATATACATTTATATAAATGTAAAACATTTAACAAAATACTCGGTATCTAACTCTCTCCCTAGAAGCCAGTAATCATTGATGGGTTACTGAGTCCTTGGAATTGAAAACTATGACTTCTATTCTCTTCCCTTTGTTACAGTTCTTCTCAAGTTTTCTTGAGTAAAAATCCCTGCTCTCATGTGTTCAATTCACCTGGTATATAAAACCATCCAACAAAACAGTGTTGAATCCTTCCAAAATCCACTGGCAAATACTTTCATGGGATGACATTCCCTAAACAAAACTTCATAATGCCCTTGTTTTATCCACACCCCTAGAGAGGATTACATATCAAAGAATTAAAAATGTTTTAATAGAACTCAGGCCAAAATGCTTCAGATGAATTAAGAAATCCTCTGGGTCTCTTCCAAAAGCCAAAGTGAACTTGGACTTTTTCTCTCTCCAGTGTTTTTATAAAAACGTTTTAAAAGTTGAATTTGTGTTTTCTTAGCTATCTCAGTATTGCGGTTCTGATCATAAGATGTTGACTTCCTCCCAGAGGGGCATTTCCCACTCTGAAATTAGCTGCTGCATTTTTTGCTTGAGAGGCTTGACTGCGTCTCTACCCTCAAGCACCTTAGCTCACCCCGCTGTTGTTGGCACAGGGTAACTCACCCTCCTCATCTGCAGCTCTGTCTCCTCCCACATGGCACCGGCACTGTCCCTCTCATCTGTAAGATACACACATTCTCCTTTAGACTTATTTCCTTCTGTTTAGAGTTAATGCTCTTGATGGCTTCACATTTCCACTATTTCATATTGTTGGTCCTCTTAACTTATAAGTCATGAAGATCAATCAAAGTAAAGATAATAAACTCCTGACCTATCAGATAGTCTGATGCCTGGCACACAGTAAGTACTTAAGACATATTTGTCACACTTTTTTTTTTTTACTTTTGAGCTAGAAGGACAAAAATACCCAGGCATGAGTTAATGTATAGAAGGTGGCTTATTCTCCTTTGCCTTCTTCTAGGACTTTTTACTTGATCAGACCATATGAAATTGCTGCTATTTGATAGTTTAGACCTTATAGAAAAGGTAATTTTGTGTGATTCAGCTGTTTTCATGGTGCTAAGCAGCTTGATGTTCTGTTTGCAAAGAGTTCCCACCCTCACAGAGTTGTTCATAGGGTTATAGGGTGACCAACTACTACCGGGATAGAGGACTTTCAGTGCTAAAACGGGAAAAGATCACAGCAAACTTAGATTTGTTGATCACCCACTTATCACACTGCAGTCAAATTCTGCTTTCTGTACTTTCTTATTTCCTAAATGTGTAAAGGAAAAAATTTCCAAACTCATCATAATACTAGGTAAGATTTATTGAGGGCCTATCATGTACAGACAACTGAGTTAATTGGTTTAATCTTTCCAATAATGCTGAATTCTTCTAATAATTCTTAATTCCAACAATAATTCTTACCTCCATTTTGCTGGCCGCTAAAAGGAGGCACAGAAAAGCAAAGTAACCTGACTGAGGTCACAGAGCCTATAATGGTGGAGCAAAAAGCTGAACACAGGAATCTGAGCCCAAAATAAGTCTAAAAGAGGGATATCCAGTTTTCTCTACATTGAGTAACTGTCATTCCTGCAAAGCCTGCCTATGGAAGTGGTTCCTGGAGGAAAAGACATGGAAATGATTTTCTCCATTTCTCTCTGGCTTTCAGTGTTCTTCCTTCTCCTCCAACTCCTACTCTCCAAAGATCTACTTTCAGTTACAGCCAATTAGCCTTGGCTGTATCACGATCCAGCCTAGCCTGGTGACAATGCCTCTCACCTTGTTCCAAGTGCACACTACCCAGTTCTTGACATCAAGTGCCATGCTCTGTCCTACTAATCCTGCCCCTTACCTCTACCTGGACCACTGCTTCCTGCAAAGCAGTCTTCTCTGTGGTCCTCATAGCCCTTTGGTTGTGCCCCACTGCTGAGGCACTGAGGGAAGAAGGGTTAAACATTGGGAGGGATGTGGACCTATTGCTAAGTCTTGAAGAGTCTTGAGTCTTGAATGTGGTGCTAAGCAGTTTGGCTTTCCTTCGGTAGACAGGAAGGAACCAACCAAGATTTACAAGCAATGGCATGAGCACATCTGTGTTTTAGAAAGATAAAATATAAGATGGACTGAAGCAGGGAATCTATAGGAATATCTTCATTGTATGAGACCTGACAAATTTTGACACAATGCCACTAAGCACATACTATGTGGCACAAAGACAACTAGTCAAGTAAGTGAAAAAACAAACTCAACCTAATGAAGTTCCTTCAACCTTGTGCTACTGTTATCTAATTTTTACTCTCCTGAACCATTAGAAAATTCTAATAATAAAAAACACAAGTTGTCAAGTTTTGTCACGTGTCAATAAAACACTTTAACCATATTAGAGGTACTGTGCTTCAATATGACTGATGTGTTCAGTTAAAATGCTGAAGTTTATGAATCTTACCGTAAAGCTTGAAGAAGAACAGTGGAGATACATTACATGCTATCTGTGAAAAATGGTAAAAATAAAAAGCTAAAATGAAAATATTGAATCTTTGAGAGAGAAATGCAGGCACCGAAATGTGCTATCATCTCATCACTATTCTCTATAGGCTTGTGGATTAGACAAGTCGTATATGTCTAAAACTGCATAGAGGGTGTTTCAGAACTAGAGATGTAAAAAACTTACTTTAAAATAAGAATAGAGCTCTCCAGTAAACCTAATCATTCTCACAGGGCAGATCGGCTTTAAACGAATGTCACACTTATCTATATATAGTCCACAGTTCCCCAGGGGTGCCCAAGCCCCTTACCCCACAAGAAGCTTGATATATATTTCAACACACAGAATAACATATACTTTGCCCTAAGACTTCCTTTTATGCTTGCTAACTTCAGGATCCTCACAATGGCTGCAAACTCCTAATATTTCAAAGACTGTCTACATTAATATCTTTCAAAGCCTCAAACCCTGGCAAGGAACAAAAATTGTTTTTGAATCGGCTTCAAGAATTAATATTAGAGAATAGGAGGTTTTTCCTCTCAGCAAATTGAAGTTGAATAAATTGTTCTCTGTCTCCTTAAAATGGAATTGGTTGCTCGAGGTGAGCTCTGCTGTGAGGAGGCAGGATGCAGCAGCACTGTGAAGGATGATGGCAGGGACAATTTGGGGGACAGGAGGGGGCCTTTCTTCTCTTAAATTAGGGGCAGGTCTGTTTCTTTAAACCTGGCATAGATGCTAAAATGTAGGAAGTAAGTATATTAGCTTGGAGTTGCATTAAAAATAGCTGGAATTGCTGGGCTATTACCACCTCTTTTCTTGTGTTACCAAATGCCCACAGAGCAGCCTGCCCCTAAGCATTCCTGGGCAGCCATTCATGTCCTCATGGCTGTGACACACATGAATTGAAACTTCCATGTGCAGAGACGCAGATGGCTCCCTTCTTTGGAAGGAGAAAACAAACCCTCCAGACTTCCTTTTGGTGCTTCTAGGCATCTGCTTTGCCCACTATCTTCCCCAAACAAGAAGATGTGACTGTGGTTTGAGGGTTTAGCTTCCCCTGTGGATTTAAAAGACCTAGACATCACAGCCACTGGCCAAAAGCTTTCAATGATGGCTTTGATTTAGTTATATCTTTCTGTTTATAAAAATGACTTTACTGCATAGTATATTCATAGATGTAAAACAGAGTAATAAGACTCAAGGACAATTCTGTTGCCTAAAGGCAACCACTGTAACTGCTAATATTTTGACATTTTTTTCCTTCCAGTCTTTTGTAGCTATTTCATTTATCAAGAATAAACTGTATATGTACAATTTTGTATCCTGCACTGTCTGCTTGACAGTTATAACTAAGAATTTCCCCATTAATTTTAATTTCTCTTTTTTCTTTTGTCATTATTGGTCAAATAAATGTAACTAGATATCATTTACTTTTCTTCTCTCACAGCCTGTGGATTTTGATTATTTCATTCTTTCCTGTTTACGCATACATTTAAATCAGATTCCACAAAAACTCACTGACATTATCTAAGTGAAGGGGCATGTTTGAAAGGGACAACATGTTCCTTGGTACTCACAGACTCAGAAATATGCTGCAAGGTTGTGATGACATTTGAATGCTATTTCCAGAGTAAATGATGAAATACTTCCCCAGGAGACACATGGAGCGAAGGGCAGCTTGTGGGATGATTGGGAAGATGAGACTCATATGCTACCTCCACTTTCTAGAGAAAGTATCAGTCACTAGGCTGACAGAGCCAGATTAGAGTCTACACTTGCCACTTAGTTGCTGTGTGATCTTGAATATGTCACTTAACTTTCCTAAGCCACAGAGGCTTCATCTACAAAATGGATCAGATAGAATCTACCTCACACAGGGATATCATTTGGCATATAATCAATGCTTACAGAAGCTTTGTCCTCACTGTTCACAATGAGGTCTTTTCATAGTTGATCTGTATTAATTTAAATGATAATTTATTTTAAAAAGAGAAATAACATTTAACATAAGTCTAAAAAAGATAAGAACTAGTTCTTAAATTAACTTCATCCTCCTTTGGTTAGCATTTTTTACATAGGTAACCCATATTTTGCCTAGGCTCGCTATTTCTTTTGACATCTATATAGCATTCAATATGTTTTGTTCATTGTCTTAGTCTATTTTTCATTGCAATAACAGAATACTTGAGACTGAATAATTTATAAGGGAAAGACTTTTTTAGCTCATGATTCTAGAGGCTGGGAGGGCCAAGATCAGGCAGTCATCTTTGGCTAGCTTCTGATGTGGGCTTCATGCTATGGCATCGTAACATGGCAGAAAAGCAGAAGGAGAAATAGACATGTACAAAGAAGCAAAACAGGAGAGGCAGGCTCACTTTATTACAACGTATTCTCATGAGAACTAACCCAATCTTGAAAAATAGACATTAATCCATTTTAATCACTTCGTAAAGTCACTACCTTTCAACACTGTCTCACTGGGAACCAAGTCTCAACATAAGTTTTAGTGGGGACAAACCATATTCAAATCATAGCTTCATCTTGATAGAGATGTATACTCTTAAGAAATCTAACTAAACAAATTAGTCATAATGATAGGGGCTCTGGAAAGTCTGAATGATTTAGTGTAGATTAAATTATAGGGCCTTATTTCAAAAAAATATGCATAAGCTGATTTTAGTACTGTCAAACATTTTCAAAATGGCCATTGACCTATAAAAAAGAAAATGTAGTCACGGCACGATCTTCTCTGTTTATTAAAGCTGATCTGTTTCTCTCTCTGCATATTCTCTATTCTCATCTCTCCCTGGCCATATTCACTGACCATCTTGCCCTCAGCTTGACAGAGACAACTGAGGCCATCAGTTGGATAAGAAGTCTATTAATCTTGATCTCCCATCTCAGTTCAGCCTCTATCCCTCTCCTCTTCTATCTCAGCAGGGTCTTGGATCTCAGTGAGTTGGGTCATCCTTTCCATCCCCCACCCCCATATTTGTTTCTTCAGGCTGTTAGATCTCTCTTAGTTTTTTTTTTTTCTATCTTCAGTGTAGCATTTTTCATTGTAGATAATAGGAGCATTCTTCAAAACCCCTCTCTTCACTTGGTTTCTCTGAAACACCCAGCCCTTTCTTGATCTTCCTTCTACATTCTGGTCTTCCTTTCTCAGTCTTCTATCTGACCTGCTAAGGCATTAAAGTCTACATTCAGAAAGGACCACAGAATCCTGTTCTTTCAGCATGTCAGAAAATAACAGTACCATTAGATATCATTGTTTGACTTAGGTGGAAGAGACATTTATATTCAAATCTTTCTTCGTTTTATATAGCTTATATGGCGGAATTAAAAATAAATATATTTACCATCAGTATTTTATTACATTTTTATTGCTTACTTACCTTAGGTATAGAGAATATTCACAATGTTGTCATGATTTATTGTCTTCCAACAATTATTAATTGGGAATCCCTATGGGCTGGACATTAAGAGGATTATGGAAAAATATAATGATAATGATTACCCTTCATCGATCCTTTCATGTTTGCCAGAAAGGGAAGTATATAACAAGTTTGCACAGTAGGTATTAAATTCTCCAATTTTACATAAAATGACGTTGGGACTTCAAGTTCACAAGTTCACACAGCATGCAACCGAAGAGCTGGGATTCACGCTGTGTCTTCCCACCTCAACACTTTCTTTATATGACTTAACACTAAGTATAAGAGATCTTAACAGGTACAAGTTATGAGGAGGAGTGATTACTATGATTAGCTTGGAGTTTTGATAAAACTAATTATATAATTGTTTTTACTTATTGATTTTTTCTGAAATTAACAAAAATATGAAGTTCTTCAGGGTCTTGGAGTATTGTAAAAGACAAAAAGCTATTTCTATACAGATTTTTCATTTCAATGTACAAGTTGATTTCTTCCTGCCTTATAAAATCATACACTTTGAAAGCAAAGCTAAGCATTGTTTTGTAAAAATAATAACAATAATAATAATTCATTCGAAAAAGTTCAATGCTGGCCTTTTGTTAGTCACTCCCAAGACAAATGGACTAGGAATTTTTATATGATTCTGGAGGTGCTAAAGCTCTCTCTCCCTGACAGCTCATTAATTATTGACATTTTCTCTTTTTCTCCCCATGGGATTCTGGGACTGGAAGAGACCCTGTTATATAGTCCCCATATGAAAATAAGCAATGACCTGGGACCCAAATGAAATCACGAAGGCCTAATGAGAATCAGGAGGTGCATGTAATGGGAGGCAGGCAGTGGGCCTAATGAGATACTTAGCAGACCCTGTCTCTTCTTTCTATTAACCTTTCTCTCTTTTTCAGGGTAATGATTTAGGGTGTGTTTTATTGGAATTTTTAGCATATTTCCTCTTACAGTTTTTTATATTTTTAGAGTTTTCTAGTGTACTGATTATAACGGCATGAGGTGGCAAGGTTGTCTTAGTATAGGTAGATACAAGGGCTGATGTTAAGGTGAAAAGGGAAGCCTTTAGTAGGTCTGGCTGTTTTCCTGACACCTTGAAAATGCCCAGTCTTTTGTGATCTTGGAAGCTGGTTTATTTATATTTGGTGGGAATATAAATGCTACAGATCTTGCTCCTAGACAGGGAAGATGAGATGATAGGGGATGCCAAGTGACAAGTCATATAAAGTGATAGTATGTTGTGAAGGTGCAGTCTGTGACAGTTTCTAGAATCAATGGAAAAAGAGCTGGGACCAACTAAATGCCTGTCATGAGTATAGGAAGGAGAAGTTGTGGTGGCCATATTAGATTTTGGGCATTTCTGTGTAAAAAGACCATAAATCCTTGGAGGCAAGAATTGTATATATTGGCACAAGGTAGTCAACTAATATTTAGAAATAAATAGGGATTGAATTAAAGGGATACAAATAATGGTTTTAAACTCTTTTCAAGTCTGATTTTTGGGATATATTTGTTGGTAAATAGTTCTTAAATGTGAGCAACTGTATCTACGATATCTCAGAAAGTACTGGTGTGTTTTAGATGGAGAAAGATGTATTCCTAAGAAATTTAAACCTCAAGTTTGACTATGAGGTTTGTGGTTTAAGTTTATATTGCTATGAGGTCGAGAGACACAAACTGAAAAATCAATTTCAAACAGAATCTTAGGTTGGAAGTATTCTTGGAACAACTGGCTAAAACAGTCAAAAAGCATCTTTGGAAGACCACAGTCTCAGCCAAGAGCACAAAGATGTCACCTTCACTACAGCCCCACCAACACGAGCTCACAATCCAAAATCTAAAATCTGCAAGGAAACAAATCATTGAGAGACAGCAGAGTGGCAAACAACAGAATTAGACCTCAAGATTTTTATATAATATAATAACTAAAGATTATAAAGTTTGCATATATATACTTAAAGAAATGAAAGATGAAAACAAAAACATAAGAAATGAATTATTCAAATAAAGAGCAAACAGGTTGAAGGAATTTGAGTACTTATAAGGGGTATTAAGAGTAATCCACCCAAGGAAAATACATGTATCAAAATAGAATATATAACTTTCTACACAGAGGAGACATAAGAAAGAAAAAATTAATCAATACAAAAGAAGGCAGGAAATGGAAACAGCAACAAATATAAAAGTATAGAAAAAGGCAGAGTAATTTGAAAGCATGTGGTAGAAATAAATTCAAATATATCAATAGTAAACAAAATTGTAAATGAATTAAACTCATACATCAAAAGGGAAACACTGTCAGATTTTACTTTTTAAACTTGTTATTGAATTATACATGAAGAAAAGCGCATATATGTATGGAACTTATTGAATTCTTACAAACTAAACTCAACTGTATAACCAGCATCCAGATCACAAAGTATAACATTACCAGCCTCCTAGAAGCCCCCTTCAGGCCCCTTTGAGTGACCCCTTCCTTCTCCCTGAAAAAGGGTAGCTGCTATCTTGACTCAATAAGTATAGGTTAGTTCTCATTTATTTACCTAGATTTTATTAAAGATTTAAATATGAAAAACAAAAATCATAAATTGTTTAGAAGACAGTCTTTATCATTTCAGTTTGGAAAGAATTCTAAAGCACAAAACATTATAAAAGATTGGTCAATTTGATTACCTTAAAATAAAGAACTTTTGCTCATCAAAGTTATTTTAATTTAAATAATTAAAGAATTTAAAATGATATAAATTCTAGTCACAAACAGGAGAAAAATTTGCCATTTGACATATGACTGTCAAAGGATCAGTGTCCAGAATAAAGAATTACTTCAGTTCCATAGGAGATAAGCTACCCATTAATTTAAAAATCAGCAAAATAAATGAGCAGGTGTTTCGTAGGAGAGGAAATCTTAACGGCCATCAGTATATCATAAAATGTTCAACATCAGTGGTCCTGTGGGGAGTTCAAATTAAACCACAACTACTAGATTAGGAAAAATGAAATATACAGTACAAGGTTAAGAGCACAGACTGGAGTCAGACTAGCTGGGTTCAGATCCCTGATCCATATACTAGTTTTGTGCTCTTGGGAAAGTCACTGCACCTCTTTGGGCTTTTGTTTTCTCATCTGTAAAGTGAGGCTAATGATTCTTCCTACCTAATGGAATTATTGTGATAATTAAATGAGTTATGTGTTTGTGTGTAAAGTATTATAACAGGACCTGGCATGTTATAAGATCTATTTGTTAACTATCTTTATCAGTTTGGACTGCTATAACAGAATACCACTGGGTAGTTTAAACAACAGTTATGTCTTACATTTCTATACTCTAAATCCAAGATCCAAGTGCTGGTAGATTTGTATCTGGTGAGGACTCTCTTCCTGGTTTGCAGGTGGCTACCTTGTTGCTGTATCCGCACATGATGGACAGAGGACAGGTCTCTCTCTCAACTCTATTCTTATTAGGACACTAATCTCATAATAAGGGCTTTGTCTCATGATCTCATTCAAACTTAATTACTTCCTCCCACAAATGAATACCATCACAGTAGGGATTAGTGAGTGCTTCAACATATGAATTTCAAGGAGACACAAACATCAGTCCATAGCACCATATTAGCAATTATGACTATAGGATGCCCTTGGATGACTTCTGTTTTCTATCTAAACTCATTTCCTAGATGATCTGATTTAGACTCATGAATTTAAATACCACTTATTTACTGATAGTTTCCAAATATACATCTCCAGCCTGGAGTCTTCTCCTAATCTGTAGTCTTGCATATCCATTTGCCTTCTATATCTATTATGCATCTTAAACTTCACACATCCAAAATTGCCTCCCCCTTTCCTCCCTATTCACTCACCCAAACGCCTATTCAAGCATTAACTTCCTCATTAGGAGCAATTCTATTCTTCTATTTGTTCAGGCCAAAAATGCAGATGTCTTATTTGATTTATTTCTCTTACATCCCAACTTTGGTCCTTCAAAAAATCCTCTCACCTCTCTCTACTTTCAAAATATATACAGAATTGTGTCTCTTCTCACTCGCCCCATTGCCCCCACGCTGGTCCAGGCCACTAACATCTTCCACTTGGACTATGACAATAACCTTCTAACCAGGCTTTCTACTTCAGCCCTGACCCTCTCTAGGCCTATCTTAATAGAGTAGCTAGAATGATGGTGTTAAAGCATTATCAGATCATGTCACCTTATTCCTCAAAACCCTCTAGTGCCTTCTCTTCTTCCAAACTAAAAGCCAGAATCATCGTTAAGTCTTGTACATTCCTAGGTCACCTGGTTCCTGATTCCCACACTTATCTCCTCTTCTTCCATTCTACTTCTTGCTCCAACCTTTCTAGGTTCCTTGATGTTTCTCAGGGTCTTTATCTTGCTCTTCACTATAACTAGAGTGTCCCTCTTCCAAATGTCCACCTGGCTTGCTCTCTCACTGTTTTATTTTTTTAGGGAAAGAAAAAGCCAAATAAGCCTCCTTTCAGTGATACCTTTGTTGTACACTACCTAAAATTTCAACACCTACCTCAACATTTGATCTCCCTTTATGCTTTCTTTTTCTACCTTAGCTCTTGTAACTATCTAATATACTAGATGTTTAAGTTATTTGTCTTGTTTATTGGCTCTTCCTCATAATTTATGTTCCAAAAAGGCAGGTTTTCTTGTCAGTTTTGTTCACTACTGCATCTCCAGCACCTACAACAGTAGCTGGCACACAGTAGGTCCTCAGTTGCTTTTTGTTGGATGAATAAATAAATCAACAAATGTCAAGTTTGGGCAAGGATGTGGAGCAGCTGGAACATTTGTTTACATACTACAGGTAGAAATGTTGTTGTGACACAGGAATTCCACCCCTAGTAAATACCATCTAGTTAAGTGCTTCCTATGCACATCAGGAGACAAGTACAAGAATAGTCAAAGTTCCACTGTTCCACTGTTTGTTATAGCAAAGCACTGGACACAACCAAAATGTCCATCAACAATAGAATAGATATGTGGAAACACATTTCCACTTATTTATATCATATAGCAAGGAAAATGAGTTAATCATAACTATAGCCAAGCCATGTGGGTGAATTTCAAGAACTAAATTTTGAGCAATATATGCAGCATTATTTCACTTACGTAAATTTGAAAAACAAAAAACCAAATAATACATTTTTCTGTGATACTAAGATATGCAATAAAAGTATAGTGAAAAGCAAGGTAATCAGGGACACAAAATTTAGGACAGTAATTACTGCAGCGGTGGACACGATGGGATGGAATCCCAGAGGAGTAAAGAGCAATTCTGAAATATAAAGGTCATGTTATTTCTCTTTGACTGTATGAGGAGCATATAGATATTTGTTGTATGTTTTTATATTTCACAGTTATAAACATTCCATAATATCTACTCAATAGATAACAAATAATATTACACAAAAATCTAAAGAAAGTAGTTAAACAGCCCTTTCTGCGTGGTCACGCTGAGCCAGCGCCTGGGCCTGGAACCGGGCTGCAGCCCCTGAGCTTCGCCCACCACCTCCCTGCCATGGACCCCCGCAAAGTGAACAAGCTTCGGGCCTTTGTGAAAATGTGTAAGGAGGATCCGAGCGTTCTGCACACCGAGGAAATGCGCTTCCTGAGGGAGTGGGTGGAGAGCATGGGAGGTAAAGTACCACCTGCTACTCAGAAAGCTAAATCAGAAGAAAATACCAAGGAAGAAAAACCTGACAGTAAGAAGGTGGAGGAAGACTTAAAGGCAGAAGAACCGTCAAGTGAAGAAAGTGATCTAGAAATTGATAAAGAAGGTGTGATTGAACCAGACACTGATGCTCCTTAAGAAATGGGAGATGAAAATGCGGAGATAACGGAGGAGATGATGGATCAGGCAAATGATTAAAAAGTGGCTGCTATTGAAGCCCTAAACGATGGTGAACTCCAGAAAGCCATTGACTTATTCACAGATGCCATCAAGCTGAATCCTTGCTTGGCCATTTTGTATGCCAAGAGGGCCAGTGTCTTCGTCAAATTACAGAAGCCAAGTGCTGCCATCCAAGACTGTGACAGAGCCATTGAAATAAATCCTGATTCAGCTCAGCCTTACAAGTGGCGGGCGAAAGCACACAGACTTCTAGGCCAGTAGGAAGAAGCAGCCCATGATCTTGCCCTTGCCTGTAAATTGGATTATGATGAAGATGCTAGTGCAATGCTGAAAGAAGTTCAACCTAGGGCACAGAAAATTGCAGAACATCGGAGAAAGTATGAGCGAAAACGTGAAGAGCGAGAGATCAAAGAAAGAACAGAACGAGTTAAGAAGGCTCAAGAGGAGCATGAGAGAGCCCAGAGGGAGGAAGAAGCCAGACGACAGTCAGGAGCACAGTATGGCTCTTTTCCAGGTGGCTTTCCTGGGAGAATGCCTGGTAATTTTCCTGGAGGAATGCCTGGAATGGGAGGGGGCATGCCTGGAATGGCCGGAATGCCTGGACTCAATGAAATTCTTAGTGATCCAGAGGTTCTTGCCGCCATGCAGGATCCAGAAGTTATGGTGGCCTTCCAGGATGTGGCTCAGAACCCAGCAAGTATGTCAAAATACCAGAGCAACTCAAAGGTTATGAATCTCATCAGTAAATTGTCAGCCAAATTTGGAGGTCAAGCGTAATGCCCTTCTGATAAATAAAGCCCTTGCTGAAGGAAAAAAAAAAAAGTTAAAGAAATTGACATGCTATTTATTAAACAAGAATTTCAATTACTCAATAAACAGAAATTGCTCAAACTCACTATTAATCAGGGACTACAAATTAAAATGATTATAAGATAATATTCATAGGACTGAAAAAAATTTCAAGTTGCTCAGATTAGGAATTGGTAAGGTTTTAGGAAAGCAGATATTCTAACACACTACCCAAGAAGATGAAAAATTATATACTCATTTAAAGGACAATTTTGTAGTATCTATTAAAAGTAATCCTGTACAAACCTATGACCAGCAAATTTACTCTCAGCATATTTTCAGAATGATACCTATTTTAAAACACATGAAAATACACTACTACTTTAATAAATATACCTCTCTCAATAAAAATATTTTACATAGGGTAGGAGAGGCAGGAAGCAAAGAAGGGTAATCAAAGGAGACTCTGTCATCAGTAATGCTCTAATTTTTAAAAGCAGATTTATGTATTTGCTTGATTGTAATTAATTTTATAAAATAAATACGATAAAAGCTGCATACCCGAATTTTCCAGATGCAGCTAATTAAATGTAGCATTTAATTGAAATTAAGGCATTTATATCCTTTAATGTTTATGTTAAAAGGCACAAGAGACTTAAATTTAACGAGTTAAGATACCAGTGTGAGAGGTTAGAAAAAGAACATACAGAACAAATCCAAACAATGCAGAATTTAGCAAAAAATAAAGATAAAAGCTGAAATAAAAAGAAATAGATAAGAAAACTGAAATAAAGATGATTAACCAAGTCAAAAGTGTTTCACTGAAAAGACAAATAAAATAGACAATTTTGATAAGTCAGAGAGAGAGCAAAAATAAGCAATGCTATAAGAGAAGAGCATGACTGGAGGTGCTGTGGAGATTAAAAAGTAAGAACATGTCGTGTACAGTTTATGCAAATACATCAGAAAACTTAAATGGACAATTTCCTAGAAGTGTATAACTGACTAAACTATCTGAAGGAAGAAAAAAACCCTAAATAGCCCTGCAATCTTTCAAGAAATTGAGTCAGTAGCTAAAAATCCATTCACCCAAAAACACAAGGCCCAGAATTTTTCCTAGGTGAGTTCTACCTAACTTTCAAGGAATAGATCACTCCAATTTTATACAAACCGTGAAAGAGAAAAGACAAAAGAGAAATGCACCTCAAATCATTTCATGAGGCTAGGATAATACTCCAGAAATGAAGATCAGTTTATGTCAGTAACACAAATGAAAAATATATGCCAATCTCGTAAACAGAGATATAAAGGTTGTAAACAATCAACAAGCCAAATTCATCAATGTAAAAAAATACATATGACTAACCTGCATTTATCCCAGGAATATAAGAATAATATTAGAAAATTGTGAGTACAGTTTACTACATTAACAAATGAAGAGAAAATAATCTCTCAGTAGATACAGAAAACGCATTTAATAGAAAACATTCAAGACATATTAATTTAAAAATGTTTGGCAAGGTATAAAAGGGAAGAACTTCCTCTATGTGATACAGTATCTAGTGGGAAAAAAACTGTAGAAAACATCGTATATGCTGGTGAGCCTTCAGAAGTGTAATGCCTTTTGTAGACAGTCATACTTCATTTTATTGTGCTTCTCTTTATTGTGCTTTACAGATACTGCAATTTTTACAAATTGAAATTTTGTGGCAACCCTGCTTGGAGCAAGCCTCTCTGCCTCATCTTTCCAGCAGCATGTGCTCATTTTATGTCTCTGTGTCACCTTTTGCTAATTCTCACACTATCATAAGCTTTTTCATTATATGTGTTATGATGAGCTGTCATCCACAACGTTTGATGTCACTATTGTAATTATTTAGGGGCATTATGAACCATGTTCATATAAGATGGCAAACTTAATAGTTGTCTGTGTTTTGATTGCTCCACCAACTGGTCATTCCCCCATCTCTCTTGCTCCTCTCTGGCCTCCCTATTCACAAAAACACTGAAATTAGGCTAACCAATCACCTTAAAATAGCCTCTGAGTGTTTAAGTGAAAGGAAGAGTTGCACATGTCTGGGTTGAAATCAAAGGCTAGAAATGATTAAGCTTAGTGAGGAAGGCATGTCAAAAGGCAGGACAGGCCGAAAGCTAGGTCTCTTGCACAAAACAGCCAATTTATTGATGCAAAGGAAAAGTTTTCTAAATAAATTTAAAATGCTACTCCAGTGAACACACAAATGATAACAAAAAAAAGCAAAACAGTCTTACTGCTGATATAGAGAAAGTTTTAGTGGTCTGGATAGAGGATAAAACCAGCTACAACATTCCCTTAAGCCAAAAGCCTAATGCAGAGCAAGACCCTCCCTTCAATTCTGTGAAGGCTAAGAGGCAAGATAGCTGCAGAGAAAAAGATTGAAGCTAGCAAGGTTTGTTCATGACGTTTGAAGAAAGAAGCTGTCTCCATAACATAAAAGTGCAAGGTGAAGCAGCAAGTGCTGATGTAGAAGCTGTAGCAAGTTATCCAGAGGATCTAGCTAATTGATAAAGGTGGCTACACTAAACAACAGATTTCCAGTGTAAATAAAACAGCCTCTATTGAACAAAAATGCCATGTAGGACTTTCATAGCTGGAGAGAAGTCAATGCCTGGTTTGAAAGTTTCAAAAGACAGGCTGACCTTCTTGTTAGGGATTAATGTAGCTGTTTACTTAAGTTGAAGACAATGCTTATTTGCTATTCTGAAAATCCTAGAGCCCTTAAGAATTATGCTAAATCTACTCTGCCTGTGCTCTATATATGGACCAACAAAGCCTGGATGACAGCACATCTGTTTACAGCATGGTTTGTTTGAAGAAACCGCCATTGAGATTTACTGCTCAGAAAAAAAAAAAAAGGTTCCTTTCAAAATATTGCTGCTCTTTTTAAGGATGAGTTCATGTCCTTTGTAGGGACATGGATGAAGCTGGAAACCATCATTCTTAGCAAACTATTGTAAGGACAAAAAACCAAACGCCGCATGTTCTCACTCATAGGTGGGAATTGAACAATGAGATCACTTGGACACAGGAAGGGGAACATCACACACCGAGGCCTGTCCTGGGGTAGGGGGACGGGGGAGGGATAGCATTAGGAGATATACCTAACGTAAATGACATTAGGTATATCAGTTAATGGGTGCAGCACACCAACATGGCACATGTATACATATGTAACAAACCTGCACGTTGTGCACATATACCCTAGAACTTAAAGTATAATAAATAAAAAATAAATTTAAAAAATTGCTGCTCATTGACAATGCACCTGGTCACCCAAGAGCTCTGATAGCTATGTGCAAAGAGGTGAATGTTGTTTTCATGCCTGCTAACAAATATCCATTCTGCAGCCCATGGATCAAGGAGTAATTTTGACTTTCTTATTTAAGGAATACATTTTGCAAGGCTATAGCTGCCATGGAAAGTGATTCCTCTGATGGATCTGGGCAAGTATATCTAAAACCTTCTGGATAGGATTCACCATTCTAAATGCTATTAAGAACATTTGTGATTTATGAAAGGAGGTCAAAATATCAACATTAACAGGGCTTTGGAAGAAGTTGATTCCAACCCTCATGGATGATTTTGAGGGATACAAGACTTCAGTGGGGGAAGTAACTTCGAATGTGGTAGGAATAGCAAGAGAAATAGAATTAAAAACAGCCTGAATTGCTGCAGTCTCATGATAAAACTTGAACAGATGAGTTGTTTCTTATGGATGAGCAACGAAAGTGGCTTCTTGAGATGGATTTTCAAGAAAATCCATTGTGAAGATGCTGTGAACATTGTTGAAATGACAACAAAAGATTTAGAATATCACATAAACTTGGTTGATAAAGCAGCCGCAGAGTTTGAGAGGATTGACTCTAATTTGGAAAGAAGTTCTATTGTGGGTAAAATTCTATCAAATAGCATCACATGCTACAGAAAAATCTTTTGTAAAAGGAGAGTCATTCAATTTAGCAAACTTCATTGTTGCCTTATTTTTAGAAGTTGCCAAAGCCACCCCAGCCTTCAGCAACCACCAGCCTTATCAGTCAGGAGCCATTAAACATCTAGGTTAAGACCCTCCACTAGGAAAAAGATTATGATTCACTGAAGGCTCAGGTGATTGTTAGCATTTTTTAGTAATAAAGCATTTTTAATGAATACATGTACATTTCTTTTGTTTGCTTTGTTTTGTTTGTTTGTTTTTTGAGACAGAGTCTCGCTCTGTCACCCAGGCTGGAGTACAGTGGCACAGTCTTGGCTCACTGTAACCTCTGCCTCCCGGGTTCAAGCAATTCTCTGCCTCAGTCTTCCAAGTAGCTGGACTTACAGGCACCCACCACCACGACCAGCTGATTTTTGTATTTTTAGTAGAGATGGGGTTTCACCATCTTGGTCAGGCTGGTCTTGAACTCCTGACCTCGTGATCCACCCGCCTTGGCATCCCAAAGTGCTGGGATTACAGGCGTGAGCCACCGCACCCAGCCATGTACATTGTTTTTTAGACATAACGGTATTGTACACTTAATAGACTACAGTATCATGTAAGCATAACTTTTATATACACTGTGAAACCAAAAATTGTGTGTGACTCATTTTATTGCTATATTTGCTTTATTGCAGTGGTCTGGAACCAAACCCACAATATCTCCTGTAGTATGCCTGTAGTTTAAGTATTCTCTTTTTGATATATGTTTTGGTGGTTTTCCACCCTTTTCATTTTAAGTAGTTAACATCCTAAATGTAAATCTATGTCTACTTGTTACATTATTTCCTTAGGATAAATTCTAGTAAGTGTAATTGCTCAGTTCAACGTTTTAGATCCTATAAAGTTTTATTACATATTCCTAATCTCCGTGCTGGATGATTATACAAACTTTCAGTGCCACCAAGCAATTCCTGAGAGTTGCCTTTTATTAATTTTATTCATTCAGCAGATATTTATGGAGCATTATGATATGCTAAGTTCTCTGCTGTGAGTTGAGGTTCAGTGACAAACAAAACGAATATGGTTGGTGCTCTTGCTGAGCTTACAGACAAGTTTTTGGGCTATCCATACATGTTGTTTGAGAAATTGCCTGTTTTGTGACTTTACCCTTTTTTTGGAGTATTCAGTTTGATTTACCACAAGGTGAAATTCCAGGGTATTCAGCATCTGAAGTATAAGGCATATAAGAAATGATATGTCTTTGGGTAGAATGACTATTATTTTCTAGACCAAATATAGAACAAATGGTGGAAAGACACAATTATGTATAGATGCAGATAAAAGACCAAAGTGTCTGAAAATAGGTCAGTCCCAAGAAATCTGAAATGAATGATTTCCTCATCCAAGGAAAGGAGGGTGTGCCACTTCACAGAGAGGCTGAGGGCTTAGGCCACAGACTACGTCATACCCCCAGTTATGCCTGGACAAGGTCCTCCAGTATTGCTGGAGTAAAACATTGTTGAGTTAATACTGCACAAGTGGTCTGCCTCTTGGGCCACTGAGCCTTGGCTTAGTACTCCTAACACGGGCTGTAATTTGACTCAAATTAAACTGAGCATATTTCCCTGTAGAGAACACCTCAATACCATTTATCATTCTCAATCAGCAATTCCAACTTCAAAAAAGAATACAAAAATCAGTGCTGACGAGATAGCAAATAGCTTCAGCTGCTGGCTCCTTCCTCCCCAATTAAAACTGGAGGGACTGCATAACTGAGAGGAAGCTGGGAGCTGAAGAAGTAATAATTAACTAGGAGAACACCTGGAAAGGCCAAGGTTGTCTTAAAGGTCGTGGGGGCAAGGGAAAGGATGGCCATAGCTTGGACAGTAGCCAGAAACAGAAGTAGGAAGAGAGGTTCAGGCAAAGATTTTAACTTCTTCCTTCCCCTCTTTACTTGACTGTTTTGGGGTGATCATCCGCCCACCCCCACTGCACCAGCCCAAGGCATCCATTGTGGTGTCTGGGGCCAAACAACTTGATGAAAGTGCGAGAATTGCCCGTGGGCATTCTTTTCTCGATCTTCTGCACCCCCAAATTCTCTGGGCTAATGGAAGATGGAGGATCTGAAGAAATCGTGTCTTTTCAGTGTTGCTTCATTCTAAAGATTTAAAGGCAAATTCCTGACAGGAATTTCTTGGAGAAGTGAACAGGCAGACATTGATGGTCAAAAATTTGGTTGTGTTAAAGCTTTTCTCCACCCTGGAGCTTACCCTTTTCCTTCTGAACATTACTGAGGGGATATTCCAGTGTGTATATGGGCCTTTCCCCACACACCTTGCCTAACAAGTTTGACCCCAGGAAAATGTGACTCACAGGCCAAAACAGCAAGATGTTCAATGCATACAACCAGTAGAAAACAGACCAAAAACTGAACATAGAACATAAACATGAAGCAAAATTACTGGAACATATGGACCAAGAATTTAAAATGGGCATAATTAGTATCCTTAAAGAGATAAAGTAGAATGTTAGTAATATGAAGCGGGTACAAGAAGACGTAATAAGAATCGGATGAAAAAATTAAATTTGAAAATTTTTCAATATTTTTCAAAAATTGAAGTAGAGAAATAATAGACACTCAGAGCCTAGGTGCTTTTATCCAACACAGGATCGGAACCAGCTAATTAATGGAAAAGTCATCTAAAGCAAAGAATCATTCTATAAAATGACACAAATATCTCGGGTATTTAATTTTCACTTATAAATTATATATTAATTTTCCAATCTTTTAATAAAGACAATGTTTTTTCTTTGAATATTACAGTTCTGAGTTGCCTTTCTTTCACAAAGTACACCACAAATATATCAACCAGAATTTCTAGTATTTCTATTGCTTTAGTTTTGAGATTAAAGACATTGGCAAATATAAGAATCTGTCTGTATTTGGATATACATTTTTGCAACATTTTACAATTGTCCTTCTCACTACTAATTTAGTAATATTTTCTAAGCAACTTAATTTTATCAAGTCTTTCTGCATATTTAACTTAGTTTTTTGAAAAACATCAACTTTCTTTCATATCCACATTTAATCTATACAAATTATGCAATTACAAATATCAATTTAAAGTAGACAAAAACAAATTTTGGAACAAGCATGGCTCTTGTTAAGCATAAAATTCATGTGGTGGAAGCAGAAGTTACCTGGGCACACTGGAGAGCAACTTACTAAGCGTCAGCATTTAGTGTGTAGAGGACATTAGACAGTATGTTTTACAGAACAAATAGGGGATTAATCTAGAGAGTGGAGACTAAGAGCTTCTAGCACATATCTATAGTACAGTCTTTCTCCATATATATGTATATAATTTTTTTGCAGATAAACTAATTTTTGAAAATCATCATAAATACACATATACAAGAGCACTTTCTCAGGGATCTTTGTAGGGTAACTTTGAAGGACCTAAACAGATTGGAACAAAAACAAAATTGACCCCAAACCACAGAAATAAGTCAGAGCTAAAGCTCTCATTCAGAGCTGTTTTATGCATGCATGGTCTTTATATGAAATATAACTTTCTTCCTTGGATACAAAGAGAAATACACTCTTACACTGTAATAATTTATAATTTTTGGCATTTTGCCTATATTCTCAAGGGCGTGCAGTAGCTTCAACACAGAGGCTTTACAGAGGGGAGCTTTATAAATCTCATCAAAAGAAAGCTCAAAAAACTTAATCGTTGTAAAATAAGAATTTTCTGGAGTTTAATATAAACATTGACAATCTACAGTCAGTATATTTTAACTATCCATTACAAAGGAACAAGTTAAGCAAACATAATTTTCATCAGCTATTGATTTATTTATAGCCATGCCTTTATAAAAATTATCTGATAGTCTATTCTCCAATTGAATGACATTATCCAAATGTCATATATTTTTGTCTTTCATTTTCATTGATTTCTCTGATTTATAAAGCCTCTTTTACACTCTCCAATTTCTTATCATGTCCCAAAGAATCAATGTTCTACTCTAAGTTTCAAGCTTTCTATTGCATGCCTTTCCATAGTCCACTCTGCCATAGATCAGAAATTGAATTCAAAGACATCTGCCTAATGACAATGAGTTTTAACTGTTTGTTGTAGCTTTTTATTTTCTTTGTTAGTTAAATCAAGTAAACTTATAACCACCTGTAGAACAAAAATTAAGAGTTTTAATATCACTGTTTACATATAGTATAAAGTTGAGTGCTATGTCCTCCATTTATTACATTAAAAATCTTACTGAAATACTCAAGAAAAGCATCTGTGCCTCTTCACCTTCTAAATTGTAAAATATTTACTTTTATATCTTACCCAAAAGATGACCCAAAAGTGAAAGGAAAAGTTGAGCAATGAATTTGGTCAGGTTAAATAGTAAATCAGTTTAATTAGTCCTCTTTTCTTTTTCCTCATAAATTGGAGATGGGGGAAATGTGGTAAAAGAAATTTTTCTGAGAAGTTCTGATTACTGTTGTACCATTACAGTAGAATATATAAAACTACCGAATTCAGAAAGTTTTTTAAAGGAATCTCAATATACACTAACATAATGAAAATGTTTATTGAGAATAACATAACATAAAACAAGTAAGCTCTTGAAATCTTCAAGCTGGTTATGAAACTAAGTGTTATTTCAGACAAGTGCAGCACTGGCAGTGACAAAGCCTGCTTGAATGAATACTGGTTTGATTCTAGGGTTTTGTGTTTGTCCTGATGATCTAATGCATTCCACTGTGTAATGGCCGATCATGAAACATCACTGAATAATGTTCTCAATCCTACGTATTTTAGTTTGCAATACTTTTATCAAGGGATTGGGTTGGCATGAAGAGATCAAACACATCTCTAGATATCTGGGACTTAATATTCTGTTTGTTGCTAGCAGTAAATGTTAATTTAGAAAGAGCACATGGTTCTCATAGTGGATGGAGTGGAGTATCCTCAGTCATGTCTTAAACAGTTGTTACTCATCTGACTGGCAATGGCTAGGATTTTGGTATTCAGTTCAGACACCTTAAAAAAACATAATTAGAAATATTTCCTTTTTTCATGTGTTGCTATGGACTGCATGTTTGTATCCCCCATGTTGAAACCTAACCCCCAATTTAATGGTATTTGGAGTTGGGGCCTTTGGGAGATAATTAGGTCATGAGGGTGGAGCCCTCACTAGTGGGATTCATGCCATTATTAGAAGAGACGTGAGAGCTTGCTTGCTCATTCTCTCTGCTCTCCAGCATATGAAGATACAACCAAAGAGCCATCTGCAAACTAGGAAATGGGCTCTCAACACCAGATCTGCAGCCACCTTAATGTTGGACTACCTAACCTCCAGAACTGTGATAAATGGGTGTTTGTTGTTTCAGCCACCCAGTCTATGGTGTATTTATTATAGAAGCCAGAACTAAGACATGTATTCTTCATACTCCCACCTAAGAGTTTAGCATAGGCTAATTACAAAGACAAAAAGATACACAAGTAATGTTTAACACCTAGAGTGAACATTTATGTAAACTATGGGCTTTGGCTAATAATGATGCTTCAACATAGATTCATTAATTGTAACAAATGCACAACTCTAATGAGGGATATTAATAATGAGAGAGGCTGGGCCAGGCGCAGTGGCTCACGCCTGTAATCCTAGCACTTTGGGAGGCCGAGGCAGGCAGATCACGAGGTCAGGAGTTTGAGACCATCCTGGCTAACATGGTGAAACCCCGTTTCTGCTAAAAATACAAAAAATTAGCCGGGCGCTGTGGCGGGCACCTGTAGTCCCAGCTACTCGGGAGGCTGAGGCAGGAGAATGGCGTGAACACAGGAGGCAGAGCTTGCAGTGAGCAGAGATCGCGCCACTGCACTCCAGCCTGGGTGACAGAGTGAGACTCCATCTCAAAAAATAAAAATAATAATAATAATAATGATAATAATAATGAGAGAGGCTGTACATGTGTCGGGATAGGAGGTATATGGGGTATCTCTGTACCTTCCTCTCAATTTTGCTATGAACCTAAAATTGCTCTAAAAAACAAAATCTTAAGATAATATGCACAAGATGAATAAGGAAGGAGGTCAGCAATCTCTAAATAAAAAAAGTTAAAGAAAAGGGACTGTTAACCTTTGAAAAATGTGATAATGTGTGAATTTTCCATACCAGTACCTAATATTAATATCAATGTTTTTCTTGGCTTATTCATTAAGGGATTTTTTAAAGACACGATTTTAATTTCTGCACAGAAAATATATTGTTTCAACTAGGCAATTTTCTTTAGTTAGTACTTATTGGCAAAACCACAGAGAAACTAATTGTCTTATTCTACAACTTTTGTTTTTTCAAAGGACCAGTACTATTAGATTTACTGAGAAAATCTTTTGGAGGACACTTGTTTGAATGTAACCAGCATTACATTCAAATAAGTGTCCTCCAAAAGAGTCCCCCAGCCTTTGCAGATATTCTAGACTCAAGACCTCATATGTCAGCCACAAACTCACAGCAGCAAAATGTTTATTTTCAAAACTAATAAGACTGTTGAATGAAAAGTGGCAGTTGCTGCCTAAACTGTGGAATTGCCTACTGCTGCAACTATTCTGATAAAAATCCCCTCTCTGCTGTTAGAGCCAAGCAATATAAAATAAAATGATACCCTATGTGACTCATTTTTCTGTGAACCAAAGAAATAGGAGAAGTGGTTGAAAGTAATAGCCAAATTTTAGCTGAACATAAGGAAGGATTTCTAACAGTTATATAGGTCCAAAAATGCCATTCACTTCCTTAGGAAGTAGTGTGGTTTCTGCCTTTGGCAATGTTCAGTTCCAGGTTGAGCAGCCCCTCAACAAGCATATAGGAGCAATCAGGCATTGGATGGATGTTTGGACTATATACATTACAAAGTAATTCTACTCTTGAAGTCTTATGGTTTAAATTCTGTGTGCATATGTGTACCTGTGTTTAAATTCATCAAAATGGATCTAAGGTCAATCTATTTCATGACCAATATCTCTGAGCAGTATCATGATAAGTACTCTGTCAAGGTGCCAACATGAGAAGCTATTCTTAACTTTATGTATATTAACTTAAATGCAACCTTACAAAATCCTGCAATGACTTTTACTTTAATAGCAAAATTTTTTTTTAAAGGGAAGACTCCAAAGTGGAAAACTTCCAGAAATATGAATACTATTATCAGTATTTACTGGCTAAAGTAATTAAGCAAATTCAGAGAAAATGGCCTTCCCCTTAAGTTATAAGCTTGAGGGTTTCAGGAAATCTAGCTACAGTATTTATTCAGTATTTATTCAGTTTAATGAAGCTCAATTCCTTGTAGCTGTAACTACATTTATGTCCTATATTAACTTTACTTACTTAATGATGCCTATTCATCTTCCTAAAATGTGTTTTGTTGTGTTTTTATAGGCTGTGCTTTTGAAATTCTCATGTTTTTAAAAAGCAAGATTAAGTTTAAAAGAAGACAATGAAATATACGAGACAGGAGAGGGCTGGGTAGCAAGCAGGAGTGCATAGGGAACCCCAAAATTCTCAAACAAAGAAATATATGATAAAGAGCAGCTCTCTGAACGCTTAAGTGGTGCACCTCCTCTACTACAGGGACTGGATAGTCCTAAACAACTTGGAGAATCTGATGTTGGATTTGGGGCCCAGCCTGCCAAACTGGATGACATTTGTCTTACTCTAGGCATATACATAATCTATATGTATAATTTATATGCATATATAAAGCTATATATAATCATTATCATGTTACTGTAGGGCACAGGGCAAAACAGAATTTGTCTGAAGAAGAAATTGGGTTGAAAAGAGGGTTATTTGGAAAAGGATTTGTCTTAAAACTTCAAATACATGGCAAGAGCTTTGGTTTTGCTTTTTGGGGGCAGGGAGAGAGAATGAGTGTAGGAGGGGTTGGCTTGGATGGGTGAGTGGTGATAGATATTTGGGAGAGGATAAGTATCCCCCGCCTCAAGCCACACACTGTTGCTTCCACTAATTGGGTACAAAGAAATTTACCTTTTAAGTTTTTTTTTTAACCTGGGAAAAATATGGTCAGAGTCACTGATATCTTCCCTGCCAACCCCTGACTTGTTCCGATGATCAAACAAGATGTGTGTATGAAAATATGCTTTGCAAACTTGAAAGTGTTACAAATATTCAAACATCTTGCCACTCCAGAGCCTGAATCGTATACAATGGGGAGGCTGCCTAGTCTGGCACAAATGGTGTGAGCCTTGGACAAAACTCAGGACAACTGACCTCTTCCCTTTATTGTGTTAATGCAAGTGTATTAATGCCTTTGAATGTAGTTTTCCCAATGGTAAAATGGGAATATTATTACCAATTCCTGAGTTTTGTTGACTTTATAACATAAAGGTTTTTAAAAATTGTTAAAGTATGTAAAAGCTTTTAATACATTTCTTAGTACAATTTAGGTCCTAAAAAAATAGGAATTTCATTAACATTGTTACTATTTTAGAAGTAGTAATATTGATATTACTATAATGCTTTAGATATAGAAGGATCTCCAAAGATTGCACTTTACCTATATGTAACTGTAAATCTTCAACTTTATAGAGGAAGCGTCACTGGGGAACCGTGGCCTTAATAGGCAAAAAAGCCTTCAGAATCCTTATGTTCTGGTGGTAAAGGTCATTATTATAATTCATCTCCTGTGCCACCTCTACAGCCCATGAGAATTATTGGGTTCCCCTCAAACACATTTCCTAAGTACTTGGAACTGAGTGAAAATTAAAATCCGAGGAGCAGCTCTCTTCTCCTCCCATTCAATAGACAGCCACATCTTCTCGTGCAACCCCAGCCACATCCCTGAGACACCATGGTGAAGGTGAAGGCCGGAGTAAATGAATTTGGCTGTATTGGGCACCTGGTCACTAGTGCTGCTTTTAAATCTAGCAAAGTGGATATTGCTGCCATCAACAACCCCCCTCACTGTCCTCAACTGCATGGCCTACATGTTTCAGTATGATTCCACCCATGGCAAGTTCCACAGTACCATCAAGGCTGAGAACGGGAAGCTTGTCATCAGTGGAAATCCCATAACCATCTTCCAGGAGTGAGATCCTACCCCAGTCAAATGGGGCGATGCTGGCACTGATTATGTTGTGGAGTTCACCAGTGTATTAACTACCATGGAGAAGGCTGAGGCTCACTTAGATAAGGAAGCCAAAGAGTCATCATCTCTGCCCCCTCCTCTGATGCCCCCATGTTCATGATGGATGTAAATCATGAGAAGTGCAAAAACAACTTCACAGTCATCAGCAAAGCTTCCTGTGTCACCAACTGCTTAGCCTCCCAGCCAAGGCCATCCATGACAACTTTAGCATTATAGAAGGACTCATGGCCACATCCATGCCATCAATGCCACCTAGAAGACCATGGGTGGCCGCTCCGGGAGACCATGGTGTGATGGCTGCAGGACTCTCCAGAACATCATCCCTGCATCTCCTGGCACTGCCAAGGCATGGGCAAGGTCATCCCTGAGCTGAACCAGGAAGCTCATTGGCATATCCTTCCATGTTCCCACTGCCAACATCAGTCACAGACCTGACCTGCCATCTGGAGAGACTTGTGCCAAATATGATGACATCATGAAGGTGGCGAAGCAGGCTTTGGAGGGTCCCCTCAAGGGCATCCTGGGCATCGTGAGCACCAGGTTGTCTCCTCTGACTTTAACAGTGACACTCATTCTTCCACTTTTGATGCTGGGACTGGCATTGCTCTCAATGACCACTTTGTTAAGCTCATTTCCTGATATGACCATGAATTTGGCTACAGCAACAGGGTGGGAGGCCTTATGGTCCACATGGCCTCCTAGACCACCAGCCCCAGTGACAGCATGAGAGTAAAAGAGAGGCCCTCAGCTGCTGTGCAGTCCCTGCCCCACTTAGTACCCCCCAACCACACTGAGAATCTCCCCTTCTAGACACAGTTTCCATGCCACACCCTCTGAAGAATGGGAGGGGCCTAGAAAGCCCCACTTTGTCCTGCACCATCAATAGAGTCCCCGTACTCAGCCCAAAATATTAATTAAATTAAATCGTAGGAGCAAAAGTTTATCATTTCAATAGCATTTATTGTAATGCTTATTTGCAAATTCCCCAATGCAGGAATAAAAATTATTCACCTATATGCCAGCTTTGTTCAAAATAGCTATGGATATACTTAATAGTATATAAAAATGAAATCTGAGATATTCTGTGTAGAAAGCTCCCAGTTAGGAATAAAGACAAATTTTACAAGTAAAATGAAAATATAAGCCAAGATTAATTCTGAGATAAAATTCTAAAGAAAATAACCATTTCATTTAATTTTCATTGCAGTTTTGAGATTATTTAACATCTCGGTTTCAACGAATTTCAGTGCCTTTCATAGACAAGTAGATGAAAGTCAGCAGGTTGTGTCGAGCCTCATAAAAGCTGTGTCGAGCCTCATAAAAGCTATGTTGAGGAATTCATGTGAATTTAATTAGTATTAGCCAGGTATATTGAACGGCTGTAATATTTCCCTATGAACCATAATAATATGGTAAAATTACATTTTTTTGTGTGGATAGAAGAAAAAGGTCAATCAGAATTAGTGATAAACATATTTTATAAAATAGATATGACTTTTTTTTTACTTTCTAGTAAATACAGTAACTCAATAAAAAGCATAGTATCCAATAAGTCTTCAGAGAACATGGTTTGCTAACTAGATTAAGTCACTTAATTAACATATGAATGGTTACCATGAGCGTTCAGAGTTTTTAAACACAGATTGTCCTCTTACGCAGTTTAAATACTTCCCCAGTCTTGTTTGCACTATTAACTTGCTTCCCCCCTGCCCCTTGAACAAAAGCCCTGCTAAGCAAAGATTACTTTTAACTTGGGTCCTCTCCAAATGCTCACAAACTGTGAAGTAATGGAAACAAAATAAATGTTTACTGTACCGGATAAATAAAAAGTTGAGTCAAGTTATTTTTTACTGACCCTGAGTGGGGAGGAAGTAGATTTGAAGTTATTTATATTGAACACTGAATTGACTAGTTTGAAATGTGTTGTTATTGTGATTATTATTATTGGCTTTGGGGTGGAAGATTTTTTTCATTTTTTAAAATTTTATCCAAAATTGACCAATAAGTTTATTCCCTCAGTGATTGCGTACTCCTTCGGGCCAGACTCAGGCAATGAAGTCCTAACGGTCAAATTGGTTCTGTCAGCTGGCCTTGCTGTATAGATTCTCCCTTTGAAACATGCCTTCAGGAGATTTTGGCATATGAAACAAAATTGAATTTGCCCACAGATTCTCATTAAATGCCCCAAGAAGGAAATTATTATGAAGACTGTTCATTCAAAGAAATGTTGTTACGTGATATAAATAGACAAAAGGAGTGCTAATCAGTACTGTTGCATTGCTGTGAAAGAAGCCTTTTTTAAAATGCCAACAACCATCTACAATTGAAAATAAGTGATTCTATCATATTGTCAAAGGTTTTTAAAAACTGATAAAAACTACTTTGGCAAGAATATGGGGAAAAGGGCACCCTCTGCACCATTTGTAGAGATGCAAATTGCTTCATTCTTTCTGAAGGGCAGATTTTTACTATGCTTAAAAAGAAAACGTATCCCCTTCGTGAGAGGACAACTCATGTCAGGAATTTTATCTAAGAAATTTTATATAACTTTCACTCTATGGGCATCTGCATAATTAAAATTATCCTCATTATAATTAAAATTATGCAAATGTCCATAAAGTGAGTGAAAGTTACATGGATATGTACATGTTAATACTCAGCTAGATTTATCCTTTATTTCTTTAATTGTTTATTATTTAACAATAGATCTTAGATATCTTTTTATACTAGTTCATATAGAACTCCCTAAAATATAGGCTGTTACATGAATGTATTATACTATAATTTATTTAACTATTTCTTATATTATGGATATTTGTTTCCAGGTTTTTACTAATACAAACAATTCTTATAAAATTTCCCGATTGAAAAATTATGTACAAAATTACTGATGACTTATTGAATAATTCATAAGTAGGTTTTGTTTTCTCCTTTAAATTGATTATTTTTCTGTAATTTGAGTATAAGGAGTGAGCTAGAATCCATCTTTGGTTTCTGGTTATTTTTACCCCAAGTAGTCAACTTTCACTGTAAATCTTTCCAAACAATCTATCTTTTTTCCCAAATATTATAAAACTCTTATTTTGTTCTAAATTGTATACATTTTTATTGTGGTACAATAAAATGCAAATTTTATTGCATTTATGATATTTTATAAATACCATAAAATTGTGGTATTTATGGTATTTTATAAATTTATGATATTTATGGTATCTTATATATACTATAACATTATAAATACCATAAAATAAAATACTATAAAATTGTTGGGAGGTAGGAGGTACTGACAAAAATTGGTTTTCACCTGGAAAAATATACATACAAGAAGAGCTAGCTAGGAAAGACTGCAGACGTCAGGACAGCTCTCTTTGAGAAAGCAACTAGAAAAGCTGTGTCATACACAGAAAAGCAGGTGTCTGACATGAGCAGCCATGACATCCAGGACCTGAAGGATCAAGATACTAAATAAAAACAGGTTAAACTAAGCTATGTTGAAGGCAGGAAATAATAAAGAGAGAAATTAATAAAATGGGAAGGGAGGGTGCCATACAGAAAAATCGACAAGCCAAAGTTGCTTCTTGAAAACACTCATAAAGTTAATAACTTACCTTACAAGATTCATCAAGAATAAGAAAAGTAACACAATTTCCTAATAACATGGGGAAAGATATAAATACAGACACAAATATTGAGGATATTAAGAACAACTGTATGCCAAAAAATACAAAAATGTAGGTGGAATGACAAATTCTTTGAAAAACATAACTTTCTAAAACTGATCCAAAAGTAAATAGAATATTTGACTAAGCCCATATTTATTAAATATTTGTATCTGTAATTAAAAATCTTCCTACAAAAAAAAAATCCAAGCCTAGAATTTTCCTAAGCATTTAAGGAAGAGAACAGGAATCTGTTTTGTGATACCTGAGTAACTTTAACAATACAACCTGGTAAAACTGTATAAAATATATGGACACAAAAATCCTAAACACAATCTTAGCAAATTAAATCCAGTGGTATATAAAAAAGGTTAATATATAATGACCAAGTAAGGTTTATTGCAGGAATGCAAGACTGTTTTAGCATTCGAAAATCAATTAATGTAATTAACAACATTTTAAAAGTGAAAAAACAAATACCATATGATCATCTTAATAGGTAAAGGAAAAACATTTTATAAAAACCAACACTTAAGGACAAAAGGGAACTTCTTTAATCTGTTCAGAATTTCTATAAATTTGATAGAGAAATAGTGAAAAATGTTCATTTTGAGATTGGGAAAAAAACAAAGATGCCCATATCTCACTTGTATTTTGCACTGTGCTGGAGGTCCTAACAAGTGTAATGAAACAAACAAAAACATGAAAAATGTATGATGACTGGAAAGGAAAAAAACCTATCCTTATTTGAAAGCAACATGACTGTGGAAATCAAAAAGAAACTACCAATAAACTGTGAGAATTATTAACTAAATTTACTAAGGCCCTGAATACTAGGTCAATTTTAAAAATCAATTGTATATGTGAATCTAGCAATGAACATTAGAAAAGGAACTTTGAAAAAGGTACTATTTACAATAATAACAAGAAACATCAAATATCTAGGAATAAATCTAAACAAAGATGTGAAAAATCTTTATATAAAAATTTAAGAAAGCCAAAATAATTATAAGGATATATGATATTCATGGATCCAAACTTGAATATTAAAAAGAAGTGCATTTTATCCGAATTTATCTATAAATTAATACTATTCCAACTAAAATGCCAATAGGTAAGTTTTGTGGAAATTGAAAAGTTGATTCCTAAGTTCAAGTGGCAATATCAAGAGGCAAAAGTGTCATTTCAGAAAACATCAGTAAAATGTGTTGGCAAGATGTAAAGCTACTAGAATTGCTGATTGGAGTGCAAATTGATACCACCGCTTTGGGAAACTGCATGGCACTATGTCCCAACAATTCTACAGAAAGGCAAACATGTATTTTTAGCAGCAAAATTTATCATAGCCCCAAACTAGAAAATACCCAAGTGTCTATTAATAGTAGTATGAATAAGTACCTTGTAATACATTAATATAATTTTTTAAATGAACTAAATACAATATGAAGAATCTCACAAACATATTGCTGAGTCAAAGATGACAAATGCGAGGGTATGTATTGTCCAATTCCATTCATATAAAACTGAAAAACAAGAAAAGCTAATTTGTGGTGGTAGAGGTGCTAATAGTAGTTAAATCATGGAAAGAGATATTGTGAGAGAGAAGAGTGATTCTGGGATGCTGTTAATTTTTTTTTTAAATCTTAAATTATAAACATATGATATATGCACTTTCCTGGGTGATTAAACTCAAGAAAAACATTTCTTTCTTTTTTTTCTTTCCTTCTCTCTTTCTTTCATTCTTTCTTATTTATTTATTTTTTTGAGACAGAGTCTCACTCTGTTGCCCAGGCTGGAGTGCAGTGGTGTGATCTCGGCTCACTGCAGCGTCCACCTCCTGGGTTCAAGTTATTCTCCTGACTCAGCCTCACAAGTAGCTGGAACCACAGGCACACACCACCATCCCTGGCTAATTTTTGTATTTTTAGTAGAGACTGGGTTTCACCATGTTGGCCAGGCTGCAACATTTCTTTAAACATGCAAAAATAACCTGGAAAATTCTGAATAATGTAGGGTGTGAGAACAGTCTAGACTATGAAATATTATAATGTATTATGGATCCACATTAATTTAAAAGAGTGTAGTATTGACAGCAGAATAGATAACAACACGAACAAAGAGCAGGTTCAAAAACGGACCTTAATGCAAAACAAAACTTTTGTACTATGTGTATGTACACAGTTACTTGTAATGCTGGGAAGTGTTAGATTTCAATAAGTTGAGTGAGTAAATCAAGTTAAAATCCTAGGTTATTCAAAGGAAGCAAATCACTAAAACAAATACTTAAAATTATGGGCCTCCATGTAAAATGTAGCGCAAAGATTCCCATCACATCTCAATAACAAATAGAAAAAATCAAAACAAAACGACTTTTCCCATATACTTCTCCTCTTTCATTAAGATGATGAATAGATTAAAATTGGATGGTGGAGGTGAGGGGGACAAAGGTAACAGACTTTCTTATTATCTGAAAAGAGACAAAAATTTGACCCCACACCCTTTTGTTTATAATCTGTTTAGAGTGAAAAAGTGTTTTGTTTTGTTCATTTAACTGAAATAGGACTGTTTTAGAGTAATGATAGAACCCTACTTCAAATCAAAAAGTGATTTCGTGATCTCTTCAATGCAAAAATCCAAGGGTAAATTTTGTTTTGGGAGAGATTGAATACAGAAGATTAAATACTGTTATCAGGAACTGGCTTCTCTTTCAGGCGGCCATTTCCTCTGTTATCCCAAAATGGCTGCCAGCAGCTTCCTGGCCAGCATCTTTCTGATTTCTCATCCTGTGAAAAGGTGGGGGCCTTTGTCTCAGCATTCCCTGCATTAAACTTGTTGAATTCAAATGGAATTTTCTTGGGCCCAAACATGTCACACTCATTTCTGAGCCAAACATGCTGCCTAAAGAAATGCACCGATTTGAGTGGTTTAGTCCTAAATTATATGCTCCATATTTGAGCTAGGGAGGCATGAACACATGGGCTGAGAGTAGGGAATGAAGTGGGCCCTCAGAGGGAAATTGGAGTAAGGCCATTAAAGAGAGGCTGAATAGAGTCCAGGTGGCAAAATGTTCACTCTAGGGTAAAATACAGTTGGGATGGGGACAAAAGAAAGAGAGGCACTACAAATTTAACCTTGACATTTGTTTATTGATGTTAAAAAACTAAATAGCTACTAAGGACAGAATGTTTTTGCTCTCTAAAAATTCATATGTTGAAGCTCTAATCCCCATTGTGATGATATTTGGAGGTGAGGCCCTTGTGAGGGAGTTAGATCATGATAATAGAACCCTTAGAAATTGGATTAGTGCCCTTATAAGAAGAAACACAAAAGTGATGATCTCTCTCTCCTCGGTGTGAGGACATAGCGAGTAGATGGCCTTTGGCAAACCAGGAAGAGGACTCTCATCAGCACCAAATCAGCTGGCACCTTGATTTTGGATTTCCCAGCCTCCAGAACTATGAGAAATAAATTTCTGTTGTTTAAGCCATTCAGTATATGGTATTTCATTTCACCAGCCTGAGGAGATTAAGACAACAGCCAAATCTCACTTTTTGAAAAAGTAAAGATATAATGAGGCAGAAAAATATTCCCTGTCCCCTACATTTTTCCTGTTGTTTTCAAATTTTCTCTGGTTATTTTGGTGACAGTGTTTGTTTCCATGAGCCAGCCTGGGATGTAAAGCAAGCATTCAGGATAATTGATGATGGCTGCCCCTGCAGAGAAAACTATCTTGTACCAAAGGGCTGTTTCTTTTTTAATCCTTTCTTTCTATTACTGGTTTTAAATAATGTTTCTGACAAGATTCTACTTTTCTTTCTGTCAACTGTCAGTGAACAGTATTGGGCATTATTTGTGGGGCTGTAAATACATTACATGAAAAAATAATGAGTCCTTAAAAAGTCAAGAGAAATGCCTCCAGAGATATTTACCTAACATGGTGATTTATGTAGGTCCAGGAATGGAGTCTCAGAAACTTCCAAATGAGAAGTCTGGAACATAAAATAAAGTCTTCCAAATCTGCCTTTGTTGTAGCCCCTGGAACATTTCCCTTTTACTTTTAATCTGAAAGTTGGAGAACGTTTTTCATGTTCAACTTAAATTGTTTAGTTAATGGTCTAAGAATAACTCTTGGGAACATCCCTCATCATAGCATGTTATTACTCTATTCTTCTGACTGAATTTGATGTATCTATTGTGTTCTTGCTGCATAAACCGATCCCTGGGATTAATCATTTTCTTTTTAGCAGCTAGAAATTGTAGACATTTAATGGATATACCTACATCAGTCAATTTAATGAGTCTCATCGTCTGGGATTTGAAATATACCGATCACTCTAATGTTAAAATGTAATTGACATTCATCCTTATTTCAGGTTTCCAAGTTTTCCAACTTTGTCCCTCCTGCCTGCCTGAGAAGGGTAATTTAGTTTAAGCTTAAAAAAAACAGTTGTTCAGTACCTGGGAAGTCAAGTGGATCTACTGGGTAATGTGCACAGAGGTTAAACAATCTTTGTGTCATTTACTACAGTACACCTTCAGCAAATCACTTAGCTTCAGTTTCTTTTACAGGGACTATTTTGTCATCTTAGTAGGAATTGTTCCATGGAAGGATCATGCTGGTTAATATTACCCAGGCGTGTCTCTGGCAGCCTTACAGTTGGAAAGAATGGGATGCTGATGTGGCTGTGGCATCTGTCCCTGGGTCAAGAGCCAGGGCCTCCATCCTCCTTCAGAGGCTAAGCACACGGCCAAAGGGGTGGCCTTCCAGATAAAGGAGACCCAGTCAGTTGTCAAATACAGTTACCAGAAAGTAAGTGCACTCAAACCTGAGTTATAATTAATGGTTTTTTGTTTTATGTTTTGTTTCAGTTGTTTGAATTTATGAACTTTTTGGCGGAGAACGTCATCTTCTGTTACATGGGCCTGGCACTGTTCACGTTCCAGAATCATATCTTTAATGCTCTTTTTATACTTGGAGCCTTTGTATCCTTTGAAATACAGAACATGGGGTGATTAGAGAAGATAACGAATGACTTACTTTTACGAATTATTCTGTTAAATCATTAAAGCACTTTCCTAAAGTCCACTGCAAGGCTCAGACACAAGGCAGATACGTGATTTCTAGTTAGGGGAGGAAAACATCCTAAGAAATTAGGACCTCCATTAAATAATTATGGTTCAAGATAAGAACTTTGGAAAGAACTGTGGAAATAAAGAGGGAAATTAAAGGAAAATCTATTTTTCAAGCATTCAAAATATGTTTAACTATAATTATGAATCATTTACATAAAAATTATGTCTGTGTATTCTTTATAGAGAAACAGACTTAATCTGCATTAGAGTATATCAGGAAGCATCCAGGATTATTCAGCTTTGGAAATGTTTTCATTGCAAGATGATAAAATCTCTTTTCCAATACGGACTTCAAAAATAGGATAGATGATCAAATGAAATTAGCATGATGCATGTGCTTTCAACATCATAAGCATTGTTCAAATACAGGTTCATCTGAATAAGATAGCACCCTTCCTTTCCTATGAAGACAGATGAAATCTAGACCCCACTTTTAATGCAGGGGGTTTTCCTAGCTCTAGGCCTGGGACAGGAGGTGTTTCCAGTGGGAATGGATATCTATCTGAAAGGATGTTGAGCCATTAGGAATGTCCCCAAAGGCAGTCAGCAACTGTTGTCCTTCTTCCCACTTGGAAGATGGGCAGATGCCACCTTGGATCACAGATAATCCGAACAGCCAGCAGAGGCAATCCCTCTCTATAAACTGTGTTCCAATTAAACATCTGCATTTGCTTCTTAGTCTCTTTTCATTGAGCATTCAGCTGAACCCTAAAATTTCATCCAAAACCTGGATTTTAAAAGGAAGTTAACTCTTGCCAAATAACTCCGTCCCATTGAGGACAAACTAGAATAGCCCATCGGGGAAGGAGTCAAAGACAACAAAAAGGGAAAGATGAAGAGCGCCAATATTTTCAAAGACTTTTACTTATAAACTTTTATTTTAGGAAATTGCCAGATAAAGCAACAGTTGTATTATGTAATTAGACAGGTAATTCCTCTCAAAATTAATTCACCAAAGAAAAAGGTATGCAAAGCTTGCTAGATATAGGAAATATAAACTGATAAGAAGGAAGATGGTAAACATGAACAGAAGCACATTTATCCTTTCTAAAGTACCACTTGGGAAGATAATGCCACAGCATCTGAATGGTCTCTGCCTCACATTTTACAGCAGAATTGAGGATAGTCAGTCATCAGCAATATAAATGTGATTAGAAAATTTACAGTGATTGAATTGGTATTGGGCTAACAATTTTAAAGCAAGTATCAAAGAAAGGCAGAGTTCTCTATTATTTCTGGGAAGAACTTGACTTTGAAATATAAATTTTGGAAGCAAGTTGGACAAATGTGAATTGACATGTTTATTTCTGGTTTTGGGGTCATAATGAAGAGAAGCTTGAGGACATAATATTTAAGCTCAAGGATTCAAACCATCATTGCAGCAACACTTTCCTCAATGTTTCCCTGTGCTTATCTACAGCTAGCAATTTTTGTTGCCAGAGCCTGCAACATATATCCCCTCTCCTTCCTCCTGAATCTAGGCCGAAAACAGAAGATCCCCTGGAACTTTCAGCACATGATGATGTTTTCAGGTATGTGAACTATGTTATATGTTAGTGCTGCTGGTTTTCTCACAATTTTACAGAACATGAAAAACCATGAGAAAATTTAGAACCCTTTTGGGGAAACAACTTCTCTTTATCCCATTGTACCTAACACTATGCTGATTCTCCGTAAGTGCTGAGCAACAGCAGGATTTCTCTTTCCAAGTGGGAAATGAAGTTAGAGGGAATCTTATTGGTATGGCTTCAAGGTATCATATCTGGTCAGAAACTGGCCTAGAGTGGACATTGGACTTTCCTCTGACCCATTTCAGATCAATTTTTCATACTGGGGAATTTGAATTATAATTTCATAAATTGCATGCTCAGGGTAAATAGTGTGTAAATGGTGCCACTCTTATCCAATGCCCCTTATCCAGTGTTCCTTCTCCATAAAATCCCTGCTCCTTCCTTATGCAAAGCTCCAGAAACTCCTCACAGTTAATACAAAAGCAAATCAGACCTAAGTATGCTCAGTTGTTAGTTGAGAAAACGAATATTAATTGAGCACTCACCAGGTGCCTGAGATGAGTTCTGGGCACTGATTGATGAAACTGACAAGGTCTCTGTTCTCAAGACATTTGTGTTCTAATTGCTTAAACCATACCTCAAGGCTCCTTTCCAAAAGAAAATAAACCAAATGAATTTTCTGACCTTGAAAGCTCTGGAGATTATGGTTTATCTTTAGTCAATTAATTTTCCTACCTTCAGTCTTTCCCTGTTCAAAGACCTTTTGCAGAGATCCTTACGTGATTCCTATGTAGCTGTACACTTACAATGTACTCAGAGGCAGTTATTGGGGGATACATGAGAGTTTACAATAAAACCTGCTATCAGCATGAACAAATACAATTTAGGGTACATAGGGGCATATAGAAAAAGTGAGAGAAATGAACATTTATTAGCACTTGCTATTTGCCACTCACTATTTTTTAATTAATCCTGTGAAGCAAGTATTAACACATTTTGTAGATGAAGAAACTGAGGTTCAGGATCTCAAAAAGGTTATGAAACTTGGTCAAGAACAAATGTATTCTTGAACCCAGGTCTGTGAGATTCCACCTAAACCCAACCAAGTGTCTCAAAATCCACATTTCTGAAAGCAGTAAAAGGCTTGTTTTGCCTTCAGTGCCATCCTAGCCTGGTCCATACGGTAAAAGGGGCAGCTCCCAAGCTGAGAGTGAGTCATTGATTCAAATACAGACAAATGGAGATACAAAATTAAATTTGCCCTACTGAAGGCCTCTGACAGTACTTCCTTACATTTCCAGACATGTTAGGGTAAGAGAGAGAGAGTCATAAGGAAGGTGAGAAGTTGGAGTGGTAGGTGATTTTTTTTTTTTTTTTTTTTTGAGACGGAGTCTCGCTCTGTCGCCCAGGCTGGAGTGCAGTGGTGTGATCTCGGCTCACTGCAAGCTCTGCCCCCCAGGTTCATGTCATTCTTCTGCCTCAGCCTCCTGAGTAGCTGGGACTACAGGCGCCTGCCACCACGCCCGGCTAATTTTTTGTATTTTTAGTAGAGACGGGGTTTCACCGTGTTAGCCAGGATGGTCTCGATCTCCTGACCTTGTGATCCACCCGCCCCGGCCTCCCAAAGTGCTGGGATTACAGGCTTGAGCCACCACACCCGGCCAAGTGGTAGGTGATTTTTGACTTAGAACAGTAATAAACTTTGGCAATGAGTTGACTTTTATTATGAGAAAGCAAAAGGTAAACTTGAGCACTCATAAATGGGAAGCCAGCATTGGGTTGCATTTTTTCAAAACGTTTCTGGGAATTGGAAAGCACTTTTCCTTCTTTCCCATCAAAACATCAGTAACTTTACTCTGGAGAATAGCAGCTTATTTTCAAAGCTTCAATATTACATTTTAAACATTGCTTTATTTGACAAACAATGCTTTGAGAAAAATATAAGGCCTTAGATAATCATGTTAGGTTGTGAAGTGTCTGCCCAAATGGCCACCTGTCTTGATGGTTTCTCCAGGCTTTCGCACCTTCTAAGTTTGTTTAACGGTAGTATTGGAGCTGCGTTAAAACCTGGTAGAGGCCAATAATATGATGTGTACAGCCAGGGGATGTGAGGAGGTCCAGAATTTATTTCTATGATATTCTAAAGCCAGGAGTCAGCAAACTATGGCTCTTGAATCAAAACTGATCCATGGCTATTTTATTAATATTATTAAGTTGGAACTCATCCCAACCCATTTGTTTACTTACTGTCTACGGCTGTTTTTGCACTACAGTGGCAGAGTTGTGAACTATATATAATCATATAGTTCATAAAAAATAAAATATTACTATCTGGCCCTATTCTAAAGCATCCTTACCCTCTGGAAGAAAAACAATAACCCTATCATATTAATGGGGTTGAAATTATTAGTTTAATTCATGAGAATGCCAATCAGCCAGTTCCTATCATTAAAAAGACAGCATACCAAATTTTCAGGACACCTACCTACATATGACTCTGATGTCCAGAGAATGCGACCCAGTGTTTTCCATACTGAGCATCCATATCATCTGCTGGCATTGGCACCGTTAGTTACAGCTTATCAGCTTGAACTCAAGGGCACAATCATCTTGGGCCGAGGTGCACTTATTTTATGTATTTGACTGGATTTTTGTTTCGTACACTTTTCACATTGAAATGAATCTGAACATCAAAGAGATTGAGTTTCTTCTTTATATTTCTAACGTCATTTTTAATAAAAGTTAATATTGATAGTACTCTTTTACATGGTGGAAAGAACATTGGATTTTTCACTAAAAAGCTGTCTTCTTAGCTTTCAAATGAAGAGATGGTAATGTTACATATTTATGTAAAGGAATCATTGATACCACGCTCAAAAGTCACTTTACACCTTCCTGAGCCCTTTCATTGGCACTGTTTTGAGACTCATAGCCACAGCAAGATGGGATAGCCATTATTGTTCTCTCTTTTTTTTCATTTTTTTATTGTTGTAAAATACAATAACATAAAATTTCCCATCATAACCATTTTAAGAATACAGTTCAGTGTTATTAAATACATTCGAAATGTGCAACCATCACCACTGTCCACTTCCATAATTCTTTTCGTCTTGTAAAACTGAAACTCTATACCCATTGAACAGTTCATTCCCCCTCCTCCCAATTCCTGGCAGCCACCATTCTTTCTGTCTCTTTGATTTTGACCACTTTAGGAGCCTCATATAAGTGGAATCATATAGTATTTGTCTTTTTGTGATTGGTTTATTTCACTTAGCATGACATCCTCAAGGTTCATCCATGTTATAGCATATTATAAAATTTCCTTCCTGTTAAAAAGGCTGAATAATATTCATTGCATGTATAGATCACATTTTACTTATCTATTCATCTATCAGTGGACACTTGGGTTCCTTTCACATGTTAGCTATTGTGAACAATGCTGCTGTAAACATGGGTACACAGACACCTCTTCAAAACCTGTCTGTGAATTCCTTTCAATATATACCCAGAAGTAGAATTGCTGGGTCATATAGTAATTCTATTTTGAATGTTTTGAGAAGCTGCCATACTGTGTTTTAATGTAACTTTACCATTTTATATTTCTACCAACAGTGCCCAAATGTTCTTATTTCTCCACATTCTGGCCAAAAATTATTTTCTGTTTCTTTTTCTTATGGTAGTCATCCCAATGGGTATGAAGTAATAGCTCATTGCCCTTTTGATTTGCATTTCCTTCATTAATAGTGATGCTAAGCATTTTTTCATGAGCTTACTAGCCATTTGTGTATTTTCTTTGGAGAAACTTCTATTCAAGTCTTAAGCCATTTTTTAAATGGGATCTTTTGTCATAGAGTTATAGGAGTTTTCTATTTCCTGAATACTGATCCTTTATCAGACATATCATTTGCAAATATCTTCTTCCATTCCATGAGCTGCCTTTTTTACTCTGTTTACACTGTATTTTGATGCACAATATTTTTTAAATTTTTCAAGAAATTTAATTTGTCTATTTTTTCTTTTGTTGCCTGTGCTTTTAGAGTCCTAGCTAAGAAATTATTGCCAAATCCAATGTTGTGACATTTTTGTCCTATTCTTTTTCTAAGAGTTTTATAGTTTTAGGCCTTACATTTTTTTATCCATTTGAGTTAATTTTTATATATGACATTGCTTTGATTACTGTAGCTTTATTGTAAGTTTTGAAATTTGGAAATATGGGTCTTTCTGCTTTGTACTTTTTCAAGATTGTTTTGGTTATTTGGGGCCTCTTAAATATCTGTATTAATTTGAGGATAGGTTTTACTATTTCTTTTAAAATGTCATTGGGATTTTGATAGGGACTGCATTGAATTTGCAGATTACTTTGGGTTGTATTAACATCTTAACAATATTAAGTCTCCTAATCCATAAGCATAGGATGTTTCCCTTTATTTATTTCTTCTTTAATTTATTTCAGTAATGTTTTGTAGTTTTCACTGTATAAGTCTTTCACCTCCTTGGTTAAGTTAATTCCTAAGTATTTTAATATTTTTGATGCTATTGTGAATGGAATTATTTTCATAATTTTAATTTTAGATTGTTCACTGTGAGTGTATAAAAATGCAATTGATTTTTGCATGTTGACTTTATGTCTTGCTACTTTGCTTAATTCATTTATTAGGTTTAACAGGTTTTTTGTGAAATCTTTAGGAAATTCTACATATAAAATTATATTACCTGTAAACAGAGATAATTTTACTTCTTTTTCAGTTTGAATACCTTTATTTCTTTCTCATGATTAATTGCTCTGGCTAGAATTTCTAGTATAATGTTAAATAGAAGTGGTCAAAGTGGGCATTTTTGTCTTATTCCTGACCTTAGAATAAAAGACTTTAGTCTTTCACCATTGAGTATGATATTTGCTTTTATTTTATATACAGCTTTTATTATGTTAAGATAGTTTCCTTCTATTCCTAGTTGGTTGTTTTTTTTATCATGAAATGTTAAATTTTATCAAATGATGTTTCTGCATCAATTGAGGTGATCATGTACTTTTCTCCTTCATGCTGTTAATGTCGTGTATTACACTCATTGATTTTTGCGTGTTGTACACAACATTGCATTCCGGGAACAAATCTCACTTGGTCATGGTGTATAGTTCTTTTAATATGCTACTGAATTCAATTTGCTAGTTTTTTGTTGAGAATTTTGCATTTATGTTCATAAGGAATAGCAGTCTGTGGTTTTCTTATTGTGTCTTGCTCTGACTTTGATATCAGAGTAATGCTGGCTTTATGGAATGAGATAAGAATTGCTTCCTCCTCTTCAGGTTTTTGGAAAAGTTTGTGAAGGGTTGGTATTAGTTTCTCTTTAAATGTTTGGCAGAAATCACCTGTGAAACCATGAAGTCCGGAGCTTTTCTTTGTGAGGAGATTTTTGATTACTGATTGAATCTTCTTATTAGTTGTAGGTCTAATTCAGATTTTTCATTTCTTCATGCTTTAATCTTGGTAAGCTTTGTATTTCTAGGAAGGTATCCATTTCATATAGATTATTCAATTTGTTAGCATAAAATTGTTCATAGTGCTCTCTTATTCTTGTTATTCTCTAATTCTTGTTATTTCTCTAGAATTGGTAGTAAAGTCACCACTATTATTTCTAATTTTAGTAACTTGAATCTTCTCTCTTTTTTCTTAGTCCATCTAGTTAAAGGTTTGTCAATTTTATTGCTCTTTCCAAAGAAACATTTTTTGTTTCATTTATTTTTTCTATTATTTTTCTATTCTCTATTCTATTTATCTCTAATCTTTATTCTTTCCTTTCTTCTAGCTCTGGGTTTAATTTGTTTTTCTTTTTCTTGTTTATTTAAGTTGTGAAGTTAGGTTGTTGGGTTCTTGATTTGAGATTGTTCTTGTTTTTTAATGTAAGTGTTTAAAGTAAGTCTTAGCACTGTTTTCACTATGTCTTATAAGTTTGGGTATGTTGTGTTTTCTTATCATTCACCTCTTAGTATTTTCTAATTTTTCTTCTGATTTTATTCTTGATCCATTGATTATTTAAAAGTATGTTATTTAATTTCCATATATGCATGAATTTTCCAGTTTTACATCTGTTATTGATTTCTAACTTCCACTGTTGTCCTATCTTTTTAAATCTTTTAGGAAGTCTTAATGTGTTCCCTAATGTATGATCTATCCTGGAAAATGTCTCATGTGCACTTGAGAAGACTGTGTATGTTGTTGTCGTTGGGTAGATTGTTCTGTATATGTCTGTTAGATCTAGTTGGATTATCATACTGTTTTCTATTCCCTTACTTACATTCTATCTGGCTATTATGTTCATTATTGAGAGTGGTATATTTAAGTCTCCAACTATTATTGTAGAATTGTCTATTTCTCCATTAAATTTTGTCAGTTTTTCCTTCATATGTTATGGTGGTCTGTCATTAGGTATGTAAATGTTTATAATTGTTTATAATTGTTATATCTTCTTGCAGTACTGGAACTTTTATTAATCTTTGTCTTCTGTAAATGTTTTTAACTTAAAATCTATTTTGTCTGATATTAGTATAGCTACTCCCTTCTGTTTTTTGGTCAGTATTTTCATGGAATATCTTTTTCTAGCCTTTTACTCTCATCTGTTTGTGTCATTGGACCTAAAATCAGTCTCCTTAGACAGCATATAGCTGGATCATATGTTTTCATCCATTCTGCCAAACTTGTCTTTTGATTAGAGTGTTTAATACATTTACATTTAAAGTAATTACTGGTAAGAAAGAGGTTCTGTCATTTTGAAATATATTTTCTATATACCTTACAGCATTCTTGTCCCTCATTTACTGCACTACTGCCTTTTGTGTTTAGTTGATTCTTTGCAGTGAAATGTTTAAATTCCTTTATTCCTTTCTTTTGTATATATTCTATAGCTATTTTCTTTGTGGTTACCATGGAGATTACACTTAAGATCCTAAAGCTGTAACATTCTAATTTAAATTTACCCCAGCTTAACATGAAAAACATACAATAACTCTGCCTCCTTTACAACTCTGTCCCCACCCCTTTTGGCTGTTGATGTTACAGAATTATATCTTTATACATTGTGTTCCCAAAAATACAAACTAATAATTCTTTAATATGCATTAGTCTCTTAAATTATGTAGAAAATAAACTGTGGAGTTATAAACCAAAGTTATAATATTAGTGCTTATACTGATAATTTTTTTAATGTATTCATCTCTTAAATCACATAGAAAAGAAAAAGTGAAGTTACAAACCATGCAATAATACTAGCTTTTTAATTGTCCATGGATTTACCTTTACTGAGTTCTCTGTTTCTTCATATGGCTCAAGTTACTACTTAGTATTATTTCATTTCACCCTGCAGGACTCTCTTGAGGGATTTCTTAAAGGATAGGTTCAATGATAATGAAACCTCCCCAACTTTTGTTTACTTGGGAATGCCTTAATTTCTCCCTCACTTTTGAAGGACAGTTTTGCCACATATAGAAATCTTGGTTGACAAGTGGTTTTTGTTTTTGTTTTTGTTTTTTATTTTTTTCTTTTAGCGTTTTGACTATATCAGCTTACTGCCTTCTGACCTCCAAAGTTTCTGATGAGAAATCTGCTGATAATCTTGTTAAGGATCCCTTATATGTGTGAGTCCCTTCTCTCTTGGTACTTTCAACATTCTTTAAAAACTTTGAAAGTGTTTCAGTCCGCATCTCTTTGAGTTCATCTACTTGGAGTTCATGAAGCTTCTTGGGTGTTTATATTCATGTCTCTCTCTTTATTGGTATTTCCTTTTTGTTCATATATCTTTTTTTTTAACTTTCTCAACATATTCTTTTTAGTTCTTCAAGCATCTTTAAGACAGTTGTTTTGAAGTCCGCTTAAAAGTCTTTGTCTAGTATATCTGCCATCACGTCTTTTTCAGGGATAGTTTCTGTTATTTTTTTTACTTTGAATGGCCATACTATCCTGTTTCTCTGTATACCTTGTGATTTTTTGTTAAAAACTTGACATTTGAGTCTAATATTATGGTAACTCTGGAAAGCAAATTTCCCCTTTCCCAGGGTTTTCTGGATTTGGGTTTTTGTTTGTTTGTTTGTTTATTCTTGTTAATTTTGTTGTTGTAGACTGTCTCTGTTCTGGGAATCAGCCTGAGATAGAAACATAAGGTCTCCTCAGGTCTTTTCTAAGTCCATGCCTTTCCTTGGGCTTGCAAAGTCACCTCCTAATTTCTCTGTGTATGTAGTTATTTTTTAATGACCTAATATTTAATGTCAGGCCCCCAAAAGGAGAAAAAGAAAATCGAAGGTGGAGAAAAAGAAAATCGAAGGTGAAAAAAATTAAAAGGGTCCTGGCCCTTTAAATCTCCTGACAATCACTTCAGCCAAGGGGAGGAGCTTCCCAGTAAGGGGAGGTGCAACAACAATGGTGGCGATTTTGTCTGCATCTCTTTGATCAGAACCAGCATCAGTGATCAGAACACAGATTTTTGATATTTGGAGAACAGAGTCCTTTTTGCTCACCCCGGCTCCTGCAAACAGTTTGCAAGCTGCTCCAGGAACACTTGGCACAGCTGCCTGCCACAGGGCTGAAGGGTGAAGGTTGGAAGACTTGCTACTATGCTAAGAACTATAATTGACCAAAATAAACCACAATTACTTCCCAAGCCTTCTCCTAGAAGTTGCAATCCTTCAATATACTCCAGAATTCCAAAATAGTTACATCATACAAATTCTGCCAGTGTAATAGTTGTCTAGGTAGGGAAACAAATTTCTGGTACTTCCTACTCTACCATGTTCCCAGCATCCCATTATTGGTCTCTTTTTACAGATTAAAAAATAATAACAATGAGACATGGGGAGTTTGTGTATCTTGCTCACAATCTCTTAACCCTGAGTTGAACCCAGGCCTCTCGACTTTGAACTTAGAAACTTCTCATCTACATGACACAACCTCAGATTTACCTTCAAAGTCATGAGAACAAAAGTTAAATCAAAATCATGTCCTTTCTAATCCAGGCCAACCCCAGCATGTCTAACATGTCCCTCATGCAAACCTGACCCCCATCCAGTTCACAGCAAAGCCAATATGTGGACAACACCCGCTCCCAGCCCTAGGCTCAGGATCTTCTCTGCACCCATTGACCCCCATCAGGTATCAGGTGATGAATCAGGTGAGGTCATCACACGCAGGGTGGTATTTCTCTTCAAAAGAGAATGCTCCAGACTCAGCTTTGATTTTCTGCATGAATTCTGATAGCTATACATTACTTAGGTCCTAAAGTTTTAAATATATTTGCCAGAAGACAAAGCACTTGAAAGGTCAACTTAAGGTAACATAAGCCAGAGGAGAAGGTTAACAAAATAGATCAAACAACACACTGTCTGGCCTTTTCTGGGTGCGTGAGAGCAAAACCCACTCAACCCAGAAGAAAAAGCCAATCCCCTTAAAGAATATTTGATTATAAATATAGTTTAATGTTTCTTAATTATGACTAGAGTATTTTTTCATCCAATAAGAGAATGACTTTAGTAGCCCTCTGACACAATCTAGTTGGCCTGCTTCATGAATAAGTTTAGATGAAGCCTTTCTTCACATAGCTCAAAACATTTTGCAAAGAGTTCTTTGGAGAAGGTAAACAATGACACTCAGTCTAAAAAAGGAGTGTGAATTTATTTCTATATTTCCTCATTCACAGTCATCCAGATAGTCATTCATTCAGCAGACATTTATTGATGCACTTTCTTGGGTAGGTATTTGTGCGAACAAGACAAAGATGAGGGCCCTGCCCTTAAGAGAAAGCTGGGCTTGGCTCAGGTTTGATTCAGTAAGGCAGCACACCTCAGGGGTTCAAAGATCAAATAAGAACCTAAAATTTCTGTCTTGGTCAGTGACACCTACCATATGATAAATGGTTGTCCATTTTCTTTACCCTCAACTTCTTAATGCCTTTTTGGCACTGGGCAGAGAAGCTTTCCAAGCAGAAGTGGATTCTCTGTGAAGTTAATAAACTTAAGCTTTAGGATCCCTTTCACGTGGCCCTGTCCAAGATCCTGAGAGGAGCCCTACCAGTGTGTTCTGATGAGCATATAAAGTTTGCATAAGTAAGATATTTTGTATTATTTTTCTTTAAAAAGGCCTCAAAATTTATAAGCTTCAGGCCCCACAAAACCTGAGGCAGACCTGCCTCCAAATCTGGATGCACCTGGAGGTGACAGTTTAAGAAAGATTTAGCTACTTCTGACTCATCTCATGGTGGTGAGAAAGGCCTTTAGTGAGCATTGAAGCAAGAGCTTGAAGCTATGTAGATGGATCCAGTTCAGTAATGTTTTTGAGTAAAGCTCACATTGTTCATGGATGACCCTACTGCCACACTCCACCCCCACCTCCACCCATTACCTCTAAAGCCAATGAAACTGAATGAAGTGACTATCAGGGTCCACACTGAATTTCTCACCTGGCATGAATCCCACCTGATTTACTTTCTGTAGACTAATCGTCTACACACATGACGACTAGGAACATGAAAATGCCACATGGGTGTCAACGTCAGGAATCTGTCTCCTCTGTCTTGAGAAGTTTTTAATAATGCAAATTCTGATCTGGGTGTCTCCAATGCAGTTAAGAGTTGATTAGGGGAGCTTACCCTGAGACATTTTTAAGACCTTCTTTAAATTCAAGGCCAGGAGGTCATAACTGCTCTGCTATATCGTGTGACACTCAGCACAAAGGGCTTAAGAGGAATGCTAAGCGCCCCTGAAACTGTTCCTCTTGCCCTTGAGCATAGCCCTAGTTAATGCCACGAGTGAACAACCCCGCCTCAGCTCTCAGTTCCCTTGAAACCAAAAAGGCAACACTCTGTTGTTTAAATTAAAGGAGGAGATGTGCTTTGCACAAATTAGCTTTCCTGTTGATGTGGTGCATATTACAAAGATCAGTCCACTTGTTTTAACTCAAATCTATGTGCTGCAATTTTTATTTAATTTAAAACTAAATAAGAACCAGGAGTTGCTGGAAGGAGGGGAAATGCCAAGCCCAACTTAGCCCTGGCAGCCTTCCTGAAACCACTGTGACTTGGGTACTGTGAACTCCTGAGCTAAAGAGCCAGGGTGCAGAGCTGCTGAGCTTGTCTAACAAGGAGGGAGTTTAGGAAAGCACCTGGGAAGGTTGTAGGAGCCAGATGATATGTCAGCGAACACTGTTTCTCAAATTCATTGACTTCTGCTGCACTTTTGAGAAGGCATTGAAACCCCAATATGTCCTATCACAAAAACTACGAGAAGTTTTAACCGGTAAAATGTCACCACAGTACATGGATTTATACAAAACTTCATCCATGAGCTCACATAACCATGAAACAGCAGCACTAACTGTTGCCAAGCTGTGCTATTAATGTTCCTGACTCATTTTGTTGTGCACTAGCACTCGTTCACATTCAAATAGCTGCTGACACCAAAGGATTAAGAAAAAGGCATGGAAGACAAACTTTAAGAAAATTTTTTCATGAACATGTATTTTTTCCCCTCTCAGTTGTGAAAAGGCTGCCATTGCTACTCAAGTTTTGTGGAGCACTGTTCTGCAGCTCATGGAACCCCAGTGTTCTATAGAAGCACAGTTTTTAAGAGCCCCTGCCAAGGTGTAGACCACCTTTCCCAGTGTCTTTTGGGTGACCAACTGATCAAGCCATGGTGAGAATCCAATTTGACACTTTGATCCCAAAGTGACCTTATCCAGCAGACATCAATGACAGCCAGAAAGGAAACATAAATGGAACTCAAGTGAAGAACCAAGGTCATTGTTTCAGCAGTGCCTAGAAATAAGAATCCATGTCTATGACTATCCAGGCTAATGGAACTCCATTAAGCTACCAGGACCGTCCCACAGTAATTACCAGTCCCCATGTAAAGGGGACACTTCCATGCTGTCTTGATCCTTGATATCCAAAAGTGTGGTCCTTAGGCCAGCAGCTATGGCATCCCTTAGAAGCTTATTAGAAGCCCTGAATCCAAATCTGCATTCTAACAGATCCCTAGGTAATTCATGTGCACATGGAAGTTTGAGAAGCATGTTTCAGAACATAATCTCAATTCATGGTTTTTCTTCTGAACCTCTCTCTTCAATACATTTCTCCCATCTCATTCTGTTTGGCTTTAGACCCTCCTAGATGCCAGCCTTGCCTCTTGTTCTTCCATTTGCCATCTGATCAGCATAATGCTGCTTATCTAGTTATTGAATTTCTTGTGGTTCCTTCAGCATGCTAAGGTCTTCCTCCCTATTCACTCAGGCTCTCCTTATGCCTGGAACCCTTTCCACATCCACCCACCCTCACTCACTTTATTTGTTTCATTCTTTGGATCTCAGTTTAGACATCCCTTCTGATAACAAGCCTTTGTAACTTCTCTGGTCTGGGTTTGTATCATTCTCATCTGTTTCCATAGCACCCAATACTTCTCCTCCCCTAGTAGTCATCAAGCTGTACCATGATTTTTAGTTTGCCTGCCCATACTCCCTCTAGACTGGAAGCTTAGTGAATCCAAAATGCTTATCTCTACACCTAAGCACCCAGCACGCTACTTGAAGGTGAGTAGGCTTCTATAAATATTTGGTATATAAATAGGTGAATGAATGATATACCCAACTAAAGTTGTACATTTCACTCAGTCAAGAATCAGGCTAAACTCAACTTCAGCTTAGGAAAAAAGATTTCTTTAAATTTATCTACAAGAGTTAGCTGAGAGTCTGGGCTCCTCTAAAAGCTGGACTTTTCTTTCCTTCCCTCCCTTGATTTAGCCCATTTGATACCATCACACTGTCAGGAATCCTTTGTCCAAGCTTACCTCTTTGCAGCCCCTTTGCCTAGAGTCCAGTGTTCTTTTACCTTCCCATGCTACATCTCCTTCCTACCCTAGGCATATTTGTGTCTTTAATTATGCCACTGCCTCTTCCTCACCAGTACAAGGCCACTAACAGCTAACCGGGCAGAGGTCAGGACTTTCTCCATTTAAGAAGACGAACTTCCACCAAGCCCTCATCTCTCCCAGGTGGTGCCCCACGCAGCTTGGAGCAGGCATTAGTGAGCAAAGCTATGGGAGTAGGTCTTCTGAGGTCTCCAGATGGGATAGGGTTAACCAGCTTATGCAGGAAATGAGCCACAAAAAAAATGTTTTAACAACTGTGTCAAGCAATCACAAGGAAAAGTCATCTCGGATAATGAATAACCACAAGCAGCATTGCTGTGACGAAGCAGACAAGTATAGTAGACCCATATGAATTGCAGATCCCATTAAGTCCTCACAGTCTCCAATGCTGAGAAAAGGTTATGTGATTATGATGAATTCAGAATATCTGAGAAATAGCTTAGAACTGTGGCCTGCCCCATACACTTGTTTTCTCCCATTATTAAGTCCAAGCATTATCATTCTTCACTTTGCTCCAGAATAAATTTACGATAAAAATTACCTGCTCTTGCATTTTTAACCAGCCAGTTAGGTTTTGCTATTTGGCACACCACAATATTTTTTAGATGGGAACTACTGTTTTGATGAAGTACAGTGAATTCAGGCTTTGAAGCTGGCTCAGCCACCTGGAACTGTGTGATTAAACCCGTTCAAACCTCAGTGCCCTAGGCTGTAAAATGGGGATATTAATACTTACCTTAAATGGTCAGTGTTGAAAACCAAACTAGAATCTACATGTAAAATATGCCTGGCACAGGGACTACCACCTAGGAGATACTCACAATGGGAGTTTCTTTTACTTTCTTTAACCACCAGAGATGACAAGACAGCCTTTAGTGCTTTCATAGAGATAGGACTCAATCTCACACCTGGTGTCATGAAAACATTCTATCAGAGACTGAGAGTTTTATTCCAAAGAAGGTTTGACTGTCAAATCACTGCTGAGGACAGCCTGAGGTAAAAGCTAAGGGCTAGTGACATCCCTGTAGAAGACAAAGGCCCATGGCTCCTGCTCTCCTCTCTCCATTTAAGGACAATCATTAGTGACATCCCTGTAAAAGACAAAGGCCCATGGCTCCTGCTCTCTTCCCTCCATTTAAGGACAATCATTGATATTTTACTTTTAGTTCCAGCAGTGACTTACTCCTGGCATCAATACATGAAACAAAACATGTAACTCAAGCCTGGCATGTTGGCTCACACCTATAATCCCAGCACTTCAGGAGGCTAAAGTGGGAGGATTGCTTGAGGCCAGGAGTTTGAGACCAGCCTGGGCAACAAAACAAGACCCCATCTCTACAAAAAAAATTTTTTTTTAATTAGGCAGGGGAGGTGGTGCTCACCTGGGCTCCCAGCTACTCAGGAGGCTGAGGTTGGGAAGACCACTTGAACCCAGGAGTGGGAGGCTGCAGTGAACTATGATCACACACTGCACTCCAGCCTGGGCAAGAGTGAGACCCTGTCTCTAAAAATAAAAATAAACAAATAAAAAATGTTGCGACTCAAAATACCAGTTACTGTGAGTAAAATATATTGTGCCCCCACCCCAACAAGTTCACACATATAAATTGTCACAATCTGCTTAGACATTTATTGAGTGTGAAACACTAGCGAGATCTTGTGGATAATCAGACCGTCCTACGTATTGAGGTGGTGCAGACAACAGGAACATGCCAGCCTCTGAGAGAACTGAGTAATAAAAGGAGACAGTCCAGAATGTGTGTCACCTCTCCCTGTGTTCAGGAGCCTTCTGTGTACATTTAGATTTTTAGGATATCCAAAGTGTCACAGATATCACAAGTATCTGATAGTTTTAACCAAATTAACATGTCCACAGAGGCAAACAAATAGACTACATTATTTTCCCTGTATTCTGCCTGAATTTATTTATTAATTGCTTGCTTGTGTTGGCATTGGGTAGACGAAACCTTAGAAAACTATTAACACAAGCAAACCATGTTCAAAAAATTAGTCTATCTGTGCCAGGCACAAATCCCTCTAATTCTGCCCTCAGGTTTTGTGGATAGAGTTCAAAAGAAGTCAATAAGATTGACTCAAATAAATTATATGTGCAAATGAGCAAGAAGCAGTTACACTTTAAAATGCCTTGTGCTAAGTATCCATCCATAGGGTCATTAAGGAATTTAAGAATTTTCATCATTAGTTCTGATATATTGGAGAGGTTCAAATGCTGCTTTGTCAGCCAAGTCCTTCCCAGACTGACCAAGCCTCTGTGAGTAGGGCAGGATCCTAGCCCCACCTCCCAGCCTCCTGCTGACTCTGCCTGGAAGACTGCTCCAGAAGCACCTTCGAGAACTGGGGGTTCCATGTGAGGGAAGGAGGAGACCCCAGGGCAAGTGTGTGCCCTGCCTGTCATTCACAGGCTTCCCCTCCTTTTAGAGGAACCTGGTCACTCGCACCACATTTCCTACAGTGGCTGAAACATTTCACTGCACTTTCTTGAAGCTGTTTTAAATGCCACAAGTCGAAGTGAAAGCATGTGTGTTAACAAGTATTTAAAATGCACTCCTCTCAGGAAGGATTGTGAGCTACCCTTCCTTAACAGATTTCTTCCAATTGCCTTCTTCCTGGCATGAAGCTCATTCTGGCTGCCCAAGGAGATGGAAGTTTCCACTGGAGAGTCAAAAACATCACTTTAGATTAGGGTGGCTTGGGGAGAACTTGGAGCCAAATGAAGGCCCCAAGTGCCAGTGATGCTGGAGAAAGGGGCAGAGCTAGAGCGAGAGAAAGCCACAGAAAGTTAGGGAGTGGGCAAGAGGCTGAACACCCGCTGAACACATTGCCTGGGATTGACCCTTTGCCTAGGGAAGCCGAAGGAGATTTTCTTCAACTGTCCTTAGAACTCACATTCTTACTCTAACTATGATTTTTGTGCTTTGTCACAGGTGAGTCAATAGGGATAACCTGGGATAGGTGCTCTCCCAGCACCTGCTTCCTCAGCTGTTAAAAAATAGTCTGTGATTCTACAGAGACACATTGCATAGGTTGACGCAGAACCATAGGATAATATAAGCTTCTGTGACACACAGACTCCCAAACTTCAACAGTTTAATCACAGTAGCCATTGCTTTCTGGCTCATGTCACAAGCCAGGGTTGATGTAACAATGGAACTGGGTGGGGTTTGGGGGATGCCCCTCCTACAGGCGGTGATTCAAATATAACAAGGCTGCTTCCATCTTACGACTTCAGAACTCCCTAAGACAAGGATTCTAGAAGTGTGGTCCATGGAGCAGCAGTCTTGGCATCACCTGGCAGCTTGTCAGAAATGCAGCTTCTCAGACCTACCACGAACCTCCTGAGTCAGACACTCTCAGAATAGAGCCCTGAAATCTGGGTGGCGGGAGGGGGCGGCGGGGGGAGGGGGAAAAAAAAAAAAAAAAATTGAAGAAGCCCTTCAGGTGATTTTGATATAGCTTATGTTTGGGAACCACTTCATGATTTGCAGCTGGTGAAAGGAGAAAGAAAGCCAAGGATAAGAAGCTGCTGCTTAAAAGCCTTGGACCAGAAGTGACTCACACCATTTCTGCTCTCATTTTACTGGTCAGAACCAGTCACGTGGCTGTACCTAGCTGCAAGAGCTGCTATAGAAAATATAGTTTATGAAGTTATAACAGTACATCATGGAATATATAAGAATAGATTTTGGTGGATAGATAGCCATATTTGCCAAAATACCCCTCTGCAGTAGGAATATTGTCATTATTTATAATGTCACATGGGAAAAAGCAATTCCAGATCCAAATTGGAAACTTATGCTAGGTTTCCTCAACCCCAGCAACTATGGACATTTGGGGCAGATAATTCTTTGTTGTGGAGACTGTCTTGAACATTGCAGAATGTTTAACAGCATCCCTGGCTTCTACCAACTGGATAATAGTAGCACCTTTGCCTCCCCACTCCTCCCTCCTACTTTGTGGACAATGAGAACTATCTCCAGACAGTGCCATATATTCCCTAGGGATCAAAATCACTCCAGTTAAAAGAAAACACTGACCTAAACAGAAAATTGATAAATTGATCTTTGGAACACAAGCTGCCCATAAGTTGGGTACTACTCCCAGAATGTTGACTTTCTTCCGATCTATGTTAGCCTTTCTCCTGAAACTCTCTGTTGAAGATTTCAGCTAGTAATGAGGATTATTCTGATTATTCCGCAGTTTACTATTACATCCATCTTACCCACGTAAAAACAAACTTCCAAAGCCAGAGGCATCTATGCTTGTTGACTTCAGAGTTGTGACAGAGCTAATCCTATTTACAATTACCCTTTCTGGCTACCCAGGGCTTCTAAAAACAAACTTCTCTTTACATAAAAATACACAGAAGTTATATCACATTTCTTCTTAGTAGCCTTAAGTTTAAATGATTCAAATTCAGGAAGAGAGACGAGGGAAAGCTCTACTTGTCTAACACAGGCTTAGTTTCCAGAAGAACTCAATTTATTTTTGAATGCAGAAGATTTTCCTACTGAAAACAATCTGTTGGCTTCACTTCCATGTGATAAAATGATGTTGAACTGAAAATGGAACCACGTAGCAAGATTGCATTATCCTGGAACATTTTGAAATCAGACTGGCATTTTTGCTTAAAGTAGGTACACTTTGCAAAGTCACAGGATTCCATTAGGGGTAAAAACGAAATGTAATTCAATTCTAGACCCAAACCAGGGTTTGATTTAACAGATTGATAATAAGACTGTATTAAATCTTTTAAATCAACTTCTTCAGAGTATTTGAAGTGAAAGGGGAAAAAAAGGAATTGCAATGGATTATGTCCCAAATGGAAAGACAGGCAGCAAAATAATGCATCTAAAGGACTTTTCTTTTAAAGGATAGATCCATTTATCAGGGACAGTTCTCATCCCTGTCCATCTACTGCTCATTTTCTTTTGGGTTCCAATTGTACTTTTTTTTTTTTTTTGAGATGGAGTCTCGCTCTGTCGCCCAGGCTGGAGTGCAGTGGCGCAACCTCAGCTTACTGCAAGCTCTGCCTCCCAGGTTCATGCCATTCTCCTGCCTCAGCCTCCCGAGTACCTGGGACTACAGGCATTCACCACCACGCCCAGCTAATTTTTTGTACTTGTAGTAGAGACGGGGTTTCACCGTGTTAGCCAGGATGGTCTCGATCTCCTGACCTCGTGATCCACCCGCCTTGGCCTCCCAAAGTGCTGGGATTACAGGCATGAGCCACTGCACCCGGCCTCTAATTGTACTTTTAAACACAAAAATGACCTCCTCTTATCCATTCACTTATGGATTCATCCATTGCTTGCAGAGCACCTACCCTATAAGAGGTGCCATCTAGCTCTGGAAATGCCACAGCAGAGGCAGCAAACCAGAGGTCAGCTCTTACCAAGCGTACTTTCCAGCACAGAAAGACAGATCTTAAAGACCAGAATATAAACAAGATCATTTCCGATGGTGATCAGTGCAATGAAAAACAAACGGCCAGGCACAGTGGCTCACGCCTGTAATCCCAGCACTTTGGGAGGCCGAGGCGGGTAGATCACAGAGTCAGGAAATCGAAACCATCCTGACCAACATGGTGAAACCCTGTCTCTACTAAAATACAAAAAAAAAAAAAAAATGAGCCAGGTGTGGTAGTGTTTGCCTGTAGTCCCAGCTACTCAGGAGGCTGAGGCAAGGGAATCACTTGAACCCAGGAGGCGGAGGTTACAGTGAGCTGAGATCGTGCCACTGCACTCCAGCCTGGGCAACAGAGCAAGACTCTGTCTCAAAAAAAAAAAAAAAAACCTGGGTGAAGGTGAGAGCACTTAGGTCTGATGGTCAGGGCAGCCTTTCTGAGGACTGAGATGATGGGCACAGCCAAGGGATGACTCAGGGGAGCACTGCAGGTGGGAAAAGCTGCAAGTACAAAGGCCTCAAGGCAAGAACAAACCTGGTTCAAAATAAACTTCATCTTCCTACATTTTTCAAGCTTCCAACTATCCTCATATCTTTCTACTCTCTTCAGTAAAAGATCCTAACCTTTCCCCTGAACTCCACACTCATATCTAATCACTCACTCAGCCTCTCTGCTTGGAAGACTAATAGGCAGCTCAGATGTAATAAAGCGGGAACACAACCCTTGATCGCCCTTATACACCCAGACATGCTCTTCCCCTGGGCTTCCCCAATTCTTCCAGGGCTGAGTTCTCCTCTCATACCCCTCATCTGACCCATCAACAAACATCAACCTTTGACATACATTCAGCACCTGCCGTGCTATCATCAGTGGTCTGATCTGCATTCACTTCTCGCCTGGACTAACAAGGCAGCCTCCTCACTGGCCTCCTATCAGCAACCTGTTTTCCTATCAGAGTCAGAGTTTTTAAGCATAGAACAGATCCTATCACTATCTTGCATTAAAACCTTCCTAAAGTTTACTATCTCAAAATAAAATTCAAAAGCCTTGCTATTCAAAAGCCCAGTATGATTTGGCTATGTCACCTCTCTGGCATTATCTCCTTCCACTGCCTCCCAGCTCCACCCTGTTTATCCTGCTCCCATCACACCAGCCTCCTTGCCACAGCTTAAGCACACCAGGCATTGGCCTGCCTCAGGATTTTGCACCTACTATTCCCGAAGCCTAGAATGATTTTCCTCCAGATACCCAGATGGCTTCTCCCTCTATTAGGTTCTCTGCTCAAATGTCACCTAACCAGAGAGGCTTTCCTAACCATGCTAACATCCCTCCCCTCACATATAAATACTCTCTGTCCCCTTACCCTACTTTGGTTTTCTTCATACCACCTGACATAATCAACCTAGAAACACCTTTAAATTAAGGTCTTGTTTGCCACTATCACCTGGAGCCTGAATGAATTAATCAGTGAATGAATATATGAATATCACCATCCCATATCTAGAGGGCCTGAAACCACTACAGTAGTTCGATTTGAAAGCATTTACAGAGTTTTGTGTTCTGGGTATTATGAAAGACATAAGAACTATGTAAGGAGATATAACTCCAAACTTCTAAAAAATTGGGAGTCGGAGAAAAAGACCACATTAAAGTACTGATTCATTTCAGACTATGATTTAATAATACAAGTGGCATGGGCAGTATGTTTCATTAGATTTCTAAGAAAGAGAGAACAAAGTGGACTAAAGTATTCCAGGAAAACTTCATAGGAGTGGGATGAGGGAAGAAAGATCGTTCAAATGGGTGAAGTTTGGAGAAGCACAAAGGAAAGGCAGAAATCCAGCACTGAAGCAAGAAATTAATGGTGAGGCCATGGCACAGAGGTGGGGATAACAGTCATTTATGGGAGGAGAGAAACCTGCCTTGCTTATGGAAGTTCTCAATGGAGAAGAGGAAGTAAACAGGAAAAGTAGGGTGGGGTTCTGAGTGAGAGGTATCTCTGGGCTGTGGGAAGCTACTGGGTTCTTCTTGCTGAGTTGAATCGTGACCTCATAAAGCTAGGTTTTGAGGAAGCTGTTCTGAGGAACATCAACAAGATGGACTGGAAGAAGAAGAGAATAGAGGCTTGAGGCCAAGACCAGAGAGTGGTTCGGGGCACAGGCAGGTTGTGAGATGGGTCTTAGGCCAAGGTGGTGCAGTGGGAAATGAGAGGAGCTGGGCTCTCATATACCTCGTCCTCTGCTGCATCAGAATCTCTAGTCGGGATGCTGGCGTGAGTGACTACATATATTTTTAAGTTCCACGTGATTCTGATGTGCACTTCTAGTGAAAAAAAAAAAAACACAAGTCTAGTTGTAAACCTCCATTTGGAGATGAGGTAACAGAAATCTAGATGAGGTAACCTGCTTATGGTCATGCAGCCTGTGGGGCAGGCCTGAGGGCAGATACCAGAACTCTTGACTCTCAAAATAAGGTTTTAAAGGATCTCAATAAATAATAACAAGGCAGAAACTGAACTTGTAGAAACTATTCTGAAACCATTACATTAATCTAGGAGGTATCAATCACTTTTCCGTATGTAACCAGACATTATTGAAGAATCAGAAAATTCATCCATTCATTGATTTGTTGGACAAATCGTTATTGAGTGCCTACTGTGTGCTTAGTATTGCTTTAGATGTCACAGCTAAACAGAACTGGCCAATTGCAAGGTACAGTAATAAGGGCTCTGATAGGGCAAACAGGGATTGTGTTAGGAATATAACCCAGCCTAACCCAGACCCAGATGTCAGAGAAGGCTTTGTGGAGAAAACAGTGTCTCATTTGAGCTCTGAAGACAACTTGGAATTCAGTGAAGTTTTGATGAGGGTTATAGGAGAAAAGAACTGAGAAAATTTAGATGAGAAAAAAAGATTTGGGCATAGAAAATTATGTACACAAAGGTCTCTTTTGCCTCACCATTTATTTCAGTGCCTTAAATGCTGCACATCAGTTCATGACGATGCTCACGATTTGGGCCCTCATGAGGTATAGCAATCTTTTTCCTCATCAAACTATACTTTCAAAGTATCCTCTTTTGCATCTCTAATACACCTTCTTACAGTTTACCTTTTAAAAGAGTCATGTTTGTAGGACCATGAACACTGGAACAGAGCAGCCAAACTGTCATTCTTGTACTGTGTCTGGGATAAAGCTTAGCATATAGTGAGTGCTCAGGAAATGCTTTTAGTTTATTGCTTTGCACCTTAAATCAAGATGCCCTAAGAAATATTTATATTCCTGTGATTTAAGTTTAGTTATGTCTGACCTTCACCTATTCAGAACACATTTGCAAATTTGTAATTGATTAAAGGCTTCACTTTTGCCCTTTGAAGATAAACAGGAAGCTGCACATTTTCTGCAGCACGAGTGCTTGCTAGAAAGCTTTCCTTGGTTCAATAGTTTTCTATTGTTATGAATAGAACATCAACATAATTAACATAAGAATCCCTTAGAGGGCAATTTTAAATGAAACCACATTTAATTGCAGGTAATTCCTTTATTCCCCAAGGTGATGCTAAATTTCCAACTGGGCATATGAAATATGTCAAAATCTCTGCAAAGTAAACCCATTTAAAATGAAATGGTATAGTCTGTCGACCCTCAAAAGTATAAAATTATTTTGATTAGTTGGCCAAAACAAAAAGAAAAAGAAAGATAAAACCCAAAGACTCAAACTCAGAGTATTCATAAAACAATACAAAACACAAGTTTTGACAAGTTCTAGATTTCTTGAGTTTTTAAGAGAAATGGTGTGTGTTTTTTGGAAATAATGTTTGGCTAAAAAGAAAATCCTAAGTCAATATTCATTTTTCATTTTTAGTATTTTGCTGGTACCCTAATAATCTATTTCAATCCTAAAATCCTCTATTGCCCAAAACCATAGCATTAAGAAGATAGGATCAATATGTCCAGAGCCTCCACATAGGAGGTAATCAATACACACACTTTAAATGAATCAATGAATGAAGCATTGGTTTCACATTTATCTAGGCTCCAAATGTATGATAAGCAACTTCAGAGTCACAAAGGATGGGTAGGACATAGACAATAGTCCACCTCATCTGGAGTTCTACATTAGCTTCACTTTGTCCACCCGGCAGCCTCACCATTCTCAGCCCCGTGCTTCCAGTGCCGCAGTGCCGTGCGTGCCACATGTTACCAGGGCTATGGACAGATGATCCCATCTCTAAGAACACCCTGTATCTATGTTTTCTTAGGTGGTTATAACATTGAGAAGGCATCCTCTTTTCAACATCTTGGGGTTTGGCCCCGATTAACAATGTTTCTCAACCTGCCACGAGATAGTGGCTGTACTTTTCCATTTGTTTCTGAAATCTCTGCATTGCATCTCCTGTAAATATAGATGTTCTATATATAGATATAGATTTTTTCAAAAGTCAGTATAACATATATTTGAGTATATTTTTAAACCAAGAATTGCTCATGTATAGATAATTTAGATTTAAGAGCATAGTTGCCCTAGTTTAACATAATAACAATACATTATTAAACATTCTTAGTAAGATTAATGATTGCTTACCTCCTTGCCCTTAATATCCAGCATGAAATAGTTGATACTAGGCATCTTATTGCAAGTTTTAATTTGTATTCTAGTTTCTCGTCTTTGTCACAGAGACACAAAGTTAAAAAACTACAAATATTTATATCAATGAGAACTATTAATACTTAGCAACTGATTGTCTAATACTTCTAATGTTACGTACTTTGCCATGGTGCTGCTTTATGGACATTTCTATCACTATGAGCTTGAGGAAAGGAGAAATTTGAAAGTTCACTTTCTTTTTCTTTTCTTTTTTTTTTTTTTGAGCCAGAATTTCGCTCTTGTTGCCCAGGCTGGAGTACAATGGCGCGATCTTGGCTCACTGAAACCTCCGCCTCCCAGGTTCAAGTGATTCTCCTGCCTCAGCCTCCATAGTAGCTGGGATTACAGGCATCCACCATCACACCCAGCTAATTTTTTGTATTTTTAGTAGAGGCAGGGTTTTACTATGTTGGCCAGGCTGGTCTCAAATTCCTGACCTCAGGTAATCCACCACCCGCCTCAGCCTCCCAAAGTGCTGAGATTACAGGTGTGAGCCACCCCTCCCCCAGCCGGAAAGTTCACTTTCTATCTCCAATCTTGTACTATGATTAAACACTGCTAGAAGCTTTACCATGACCTATAAATTCTCTCCTCAGATACAGAAGTCTATTGTACGACTGTTTCCTTGAGTTCTCATTCCCTAATGATCCCATTTGTATTTCCTGGTGAGAACACTATTAAAATAGTCACCAGTATTAAGGGTTATTAATATCCCCACTCTTATCCCCAGCTGGGTATGAATGCACAAATACTTCTGGTGGGGCCTTTTTTTCTTGAGTACAGCCATCTCAAGTGTTCAGAATTTCTGATGTGTAAGAACTTTTTTATTAATATCTACTTCAAATGTTATCTTCCTTATCTATAGGCCATTTCCATGTCTACGTGGAGATTTAGAATAATTTCCTTCCTCCATTACATTTTGTTCCTTGAAGGTATTTTATAATCAGAGTGCATGTTCTTCTCTCTTTCGGAGATTTCCTTGTTTCAGGCAAAACATATTAAGTCTCTCTAGTCGAATCCTGTGGCTCTTGTGTTATGCCACTTGTCTCTTGAATAGTCTCAGCATGGAGGTAAGAAAGGAGCGTTATATTCTAAGTTGAGAACCTAGAAACAAAAACCAGGATGGTTATAGTTTTTCTCATTCTGCCCTGTGTCTACTTTTTAAAATTCCTTTAATGTACGAATACAGATTTAGAAATTTAGAAACCTAGATGCTATAATAAATATTATAAAAAGTGGATCATTGAGATTTTATATGTATGATTCAAACCTTTCAACAAAAATAACCAAATCACTACCTCTTTGGCTTATACTAGGTGTCGTTATAAATCTTTATTTGTCCTATTGCACAATATAACAGGGACTATAAATGTCTTGCATGTCGTGTGTTACCCAAGAGAGACCTTCCATTTTAGCTCCTTTCCTTTGCTAGTTGTGCTTTTATTTACTCTTCTTCCAAGTCTATATTTCTATTTTTATTAGTGTCATCACGTTTCGATTTCAAGTTCTAGTATTTGTTTTTTGTTTGTTTGTTTGTTTGTTTGAGATGAAGTCTCACTCTGTCATGCAGGCTGCAGTGCAATGGCACGATCTCAGCTCACTGCAACCTCCACCTCCCAGGTTCAAGCAATTCTCCTGCTTCAGCCTCCCAAGTAATTGGGACTATAGGTGTGCGCCACTATGCCCAGCTAATTTTTGTATTTTTAGTAGAGATGGGGTTTCACCATGTTGGCCAGGCTGGTCTCAAACTCCTGACCTCATGATCTGCCCACCTCGGCCTCCCGAAGTGCTGGGATTACAGGCGTGAACCACCATGCCCAGCCCTTCATCTTTAATACTTCTTGCAAATATATTTAATATGGATTCATAAAAATGCAATTAGCATAATATTACAAAAGAAAAAGTAAAATAAGAAAAAACAGGTTTTAATATACTAGTTTAGATTATAGATTTTGTAAAACTATGTAATCATTCTGGAGTAATTTTAAATGTCATTTAATTATTTAATTTTCAGTGGTCCATAAGCTTAGTTTTCTTTGTTGTCTGACACATTTGATTTTTAAAAAGTAATTGTTCCCAGAAAGTTTCTTTTGTATATACAGCCAATATTATTCTAAAATTTTATGGAAATGCAAAATAACTAGAATAGCTAAAACAATTTTGAAAACAAGAAATAAGGTGGGCAGAATCACTCTACCCAATGTTAAGGCTTATTATATAGCTACAGTAATTAAGACAGTGTGCTATTAGAAGAAGGACAGACACATAGATCAATGGAACAAAGTACAGAACTGAGAAATAGACCTACACAAATATACCCAGCTGGTTTTTGATGGAGTTCCAAAAGCAATTCAATGAAGAAGTTAAATCACCAATCTGCCAAGGAGGCAGAGAAATTGGATGACTTATATATTGCTGGTAGGAATGTAAAATGTTACAGCCACTCTGGAAAACAATTGAGTGATTTCTTAAAAACCTAAATATGCAAATACTATACTACCTAGTGATTGTACTCCTGGGCATATATCTCAGGGAAATGAAAACTTACGTTCACACAATAATCTGTATGTAAATTTTAGCATCCTTTCTTGTAATAACCAAAAACTGAAAACAACTCAGATACCCTTCAACAGACGTGTGGTTAAACAAACTGTAGAACACCCAGACTGTGGAATATTACTCAGTAATAAAAAGGAACAACTGTCAATAATTCAGCAACCTGAATGATTATCCAGCAACTTTTGCTGGGTTAAAAAAAGGCAATTCCAAGAGACTATATACTGCATGGTTCCATTTATATAACTGTCTTGAAATGACAAAAATCATCCTAACAGAGAATAGATTACTGGTTGTTAGGAATTAAGGAGTGAGTATGTGGGAGGGAAGTAGGTGTGGTTATAAAAGGGCAATGTGAAGGATCCTTGTGGTGATGGAAATGTTTCTGTCTCTCTCTCTCTCTCTCTCTCTCTCTCTCTTTAGAGCCAGGGACTTATTCTGTCACTCAGACTGATGGCATAATCCTAGCTCATTGCAGCCTTGAACTCCTGGGCTTAAGTGATCCTTTCGAGTAGCTGGGACTAAAGACACATGCCACCATGCCTGGCTAATTTAAAAAAAAATCTGTAGAGACAGGGTCTTGCTTTGTTGCCCAGGCTGGTCTCGAATGCCTGACTTCATGTGATTTTCCCACTTCAACTTCCCAAAGTGCTGAGATTACAAGTGTGAGCCACTGCACCCAGCCAGAAATGTTCTTTATCTTGACTGGATCAATGTCAATATTCTGGTTGACATATTGAGCTATAGTTTTGCATGATATCATTGAGGGGAAACTGAAGAAATAGTACACAGTGTCTTTCTGTTTTATTTCTTACAACTCTTTATGAATCTATAATTATCTCAAAATAAAAAGATTAATTTAAAAAAATTGTGTCAGCAAATTGTAAAGATGAATCCATTGAAATGAAAAAGACACCTGCAAGGCATTTATTTTCTCCTTTGGTTTTTCCTGCAAGGTTTGCGAGGAGCGATCGCATTTGCCTTAGCTATTCGGAACACAGAATCTCAGCCCAAACAAATGATGTTTACCACTACGCTGCTCCTCGTGTTCTTCACTGTCTGGGTATTTGGAGGAGGAACAACCCCCATGTTGACTTGGCTTCAGATCAGGTGAGTGACACCGTCTAGCAAAGGAAATCATTATGAGGCATGGCTGCGCTGTTCAATTTCTGGTATTGCTGACTTAGTCAATAGTACAGTGGCAGGTCCTACCCTAACTTTCCCAGCAGTCAAGTTGACCTTCACTCATAAGGTGAAACAATATGACATAGTACCAACCACACTGACTTTTCCAGGAGGCTTCCAAATCCTAGGATGATGTCTGTTTATAGTCTGTCCCTAGAAATTTATTTATTCATCTATCAATTCTTCCATTCAACAATCTGTATTCAGTACAATGTGGTATACTGTGGAGTTTACAAAAATAAGACACAGGTCTTGTCCTCAAGATACAATCCAGTAGGACTGATACAGAGAAATCTATAATACAAAGGATAAAGTGAATTTATTGTTTTTTAATTCCTCACCGCACTTACAACAGAAACAGGGACATAGGAAATGCTTAAACATACTTGCTTAGTGAGCCATATGCTTAGCCAGAGGGATGCTATAGACACAAGTTAGACACTTTCATACAGGAAAAGGGGATAAAGGCTTCAGTCAGTGGCCCTCCAATAAGCAGTTCTGGAAGATGATTGCTATAAACCTGAAGTATGGGAGGAGCAGACAATTTGACAGAAACGGGTAGCTGGTGTCAATTGTGAAAAGGGGTAAATCTATTTTAAAGTGTGGCTGTCTTTGTTTAATGTTCTTGTGACCTGGGTCCTCATTTTCATATCCCAGAAGGTAATAACAGTGCTTTAGGCAAATCACATTTTATTTATCAAATCTATACATTTTGATGATCATGCAGTCCCTTCCTGACTCCTACCTATTATCTATAAGACAGATTTATACCTACTGCCTTCAACACGTAAAGATCCATCTGACTAGAAAAGGACTTCCAAGAAGATTCTTACAGTCAAGAGTCTGTTATTACAGCACCTAGTATAGTGCCTGGCACATAGTAGGATTGAATACATAATTCATGAAAAGTTAAATGAATACAACCACAAATGTAAACACTTTCATTAACCATTCACTGCAGGTCTCACAAGTTTAGTATAAGAAACCTTATGCTCAAACCAGGCCAACTGGTTATGCATTAAACCAAATTCAAGGAAAAAAAGGACTTCCTGAAGTACTGAGAATATTGCTAAACACATAAAAAGGCTTTGACTAAAGGTGAATAGGGAGTGTTTTCAAATGCTTCTTGAATTACTTCCTAGGCACATAAATGTGACTTGCAATTTCTTTCACAGTGGTGGTTACCTGTAGGCTCCCATGGATGAGTACACAGATTGCATTAAACTCTATAACACTGAGTCTCCTGTGAACTGTTAGTAAGACGGTGGTGTGTTTAGGTTTCTGGAAAACAAAATTCAATAGGTAGATCCTTGCATGGAAAAATTAGGGCTTGGAAACCAAGTTAGAGGATGCTGGTCCCCACAAAATGCAAGTACTGAATACACTATTAGGTGAGTTCAAATATTCAGAACATAAAGTAGTGATGTCAGGATTTCCTTAAAGCAATAAAATATAATTTGTTTTCTACTATTTCTTTTTCTACCCCAAAAGAAGTTGTCCCCAAATCAGTAACATGTTTTATCCTAAAGTATTTACCTAACTCCCTTAAAGTGTTTTCCAAAAGCATCCACTGACTTCAAATAGGTGTCATAACTTATGCAGCCCCTTAATATCTGGTCCAGCAGGGAGAGGGGAGTATTATAGTGGGGCTTTAAACAGGTTAGGACAGTTATCCAGGTTATAGGACAAAGCCTAGTAAGAAAGGAGAGATACTGATGTGAACCATAGTGTCCAGGGGTGAAGTGCCTGGTAGTCAGCCTGGCCAGTGTTATGGCAGTCTTCCAGGGGGCACAGCATGGGGCAGCCAGGTCATGGCGATGCCCCAGCAGGAACCGGCTCCAAATGGCCCAACCAATTCAGTGCCAGACTTGGCCACCAGCCAGGAGGGAGATGAGTAAAGGCAGGACTGTGATGTGTTTAGGGAATTGAGCTGACAGGGTTCCAGTCTAGTGAGCAAGTTGATGATCTCAGCTGGGAACTAGAGTATAAATCTGACATCAGGGCAGAAACCCAAAGAGACCAGAGACCCAATCATGAGAAAACTAAAGGGGAAAAACTGAAGTTCATAGATTTGTGGGCACCCAGGAAGTAAACCCAGACAGATAGATACAGGGCAGAAAAAGTTAAGACCAATGGCTCTCAAACTTGAATGAACATCAGAACCACTTAGAGGGCTCATTAAAACCCAGATTGCTAAGCCCCAGCCCAAGTTTCTCATCCAGTAGGTCTTGGTCAAGGCCTGAGAATTTGTATTTCTACCACATCCAGGAAATGCCTCTGTTGCTGGTCCCAGGGCCACATTTTGAGAATCGCTGGTTTAGACTTCCTACCGCTAGTGGAGATGGAGCTAATATTGATACTGTCAGATGTCAGGGTTGCCAAGGGCCAGGCACACCTGAGCCTGCAGTGTAGATTCCTTAGCACCTATACTAAAGGGAGGAGGGGCTCACTTAAAGAGGAAGAGTCACTGTGCACCGATCAGTGGGCAGGAAATAGGACATAATAGAATAAACATTAAAGAATAAAACTATGTCACTGTGTGTATACAAATACACACTAACTTGCAGTGATACCATCATATGCTCCACTTTCCTACCATGGTTTATAATGTTGTCAAAGAAATTCTCAATTCCATTATGGCTTTAAACTCATAGTCACCCATCATTTAGACTCTATTTAGCAAGGCTTTGCTTGTTTACAGAGCTATATCTCGTTAACCAACTTTCTTGTCAGACTCTTCTCCAAAAACACCACGAAGTAAGTAAATTGGAGCTTTAATAAAATCACACAAATGGAGAAACCCAAGAGACACGAAGACAAACGTGATATTGAATGAACCCAAACACCCTCAATTGGAATGTGATTTGTTTATCTACTTTACGTGGCCTTCCCTTCTTGAGTCTATATTTTTTTCTCTGAAATTATTTGATATGTACTTGAATTAGTTTTTTTAATCCCCATAAAATTTGCCATCCAGCTGCAAACTACCACAGTAGGATGCAAAGAAAATGTTTTATATAAAGCAAAAATTGATAGTATTAATATGAATTGCACTTTGATGGAACTGACTTTAAAACAGTAATGATCCTATGTTTAGAGAAACAAATAATGATCTTTATATGTGAACCAAATTTTCCATTGATTGAGTCTTGTCCTAAGCACCATTCAAATTTCTTGTCCTGGAGCTGTTGTATTTTTCTTTTTAAAAATAATCATAAAATGTTTGTAATGCAGCATTGAAAATAAATCAGACCTTTGCTTTTTAAAATTCTGGAGAAAAGGAAAAGACTCCTCCAGCATTATTTTGGAGGTTTTCATGTAAAATAAAGTAGAATGGTTTCTTGATTAAAATCCGGTTCTCCTCCCTTCTGTGGAATACATTAATACTGGCGGTGAGGAAAACCCAACAGGAGTCTCCAAGGACTAGCTCTGCTGTTACCCAGGAAACAAAAAAGACCAAAGGTGTTAGGCTTTGCCCTACAAAAGCCAGTAAACAAGATTATCGACCAAATGGTTGCACATGCTTACAAATAAACATTAAAGACCACAGGGCAGAGCTCTCTGGCAGTGGCACCAGATAATAAGCTTCAAGATGGTAACCCCATTCTTGGCTTAGGGTAGAGCACCGCATGGAGCCAAGAAACTTTCAGCAAATAGCTCATGAGAATGGAGCCCATACCACAGTGCAAACCTTCCCCGGGCTCCCCAGATGAGAATGTAGGACCCATCTCTTCACAATATCTGAATCACAGTGTGGAAGGCCTTGAATGCCAGACTAACACAGAACTTGTCTCCCAGCTGACATTAGAAAAGTGCCCTCAACAAGATAACCTTTACAGCTTCCAAATTTTGACCTCTAAACACTCTACCAATAATAACTGACTTGTATTGAGTGCTTACTCTGTGCCAGATATCAGATAATAAAATGCAAAGTATATAACCTCCTTGTGACTCAGCTTCTAATCTATAAAATGGGGATGATGATAGTAGCCGCTTCCCAGGGTGGTTGACAACTGCCACCGTGGCCCATGGTTACACCACCGCCAGGCTGCAGAATCAGGCTCCAATCTGGGGAGCCTAAGCCTAGGGCCTGCACACTCAACTAGTGCATTCTTCTGGCACCCTGAATAAATGAGCTTATTCTCAATGCCTGCAATCTACCCTGATTAACAAATCCTTTGAAGAAAGAAATGTACTTTTTAAACCAAGACAGGCCTGTTAAAAACAAACACAGGAAATCTTCATCCATCACAAGTGATTGGGCTGACTGGCTCATACAACACAGAAATTCTTCAGTGCAGGTTTTCTTTTTGACCTGGGACAGTTACGGGTAAATAAAATGAGATTAGTCCAAAGTAGCCAAGTGGAGAAGATTGTCTTCCTCAATTACAGGAATTTAGAATTACGGTACTTATAGGAATTTGTTACCCTCATGCTCATCTCCCAACCCTATTCAGGATCCCAAACTATCCTGCCGTCAGCCTCTTCCCCAAATCAGTAAAAAAATTTGTTAGCATACATTGACTTACGTCTATTGCAGAGTGAGTAACTTTTAGATAGTGCAATCCTTCTACTATTAATTTTTTTTTTTGAGAGTGTCTTGCTCTCTCACCGAGGGTGGAGTGCAGTGGCTCAATCATAGCTCCCCACAGCCTTGATCTGCTGGGCTCAAGTGATCCTCCTGCCTCAGCCTCTCAAGTAGCTGAGACTACAGGTGTGCACCACCATGCCCAGCTAATCTTTTTAAAATTATTTTTAGCAGAGATGAGGTCTCATTACATTGCCCAAGCTGATCTCAAACTCCTGAGCTCAAGCAATCCTCCAACCCCAAACTTCCGAAGTGCTGGCATTACAGGCATGAGCCACCACACCAGCCCACAATCAATATTTTACTTAAATATTTATATTCAATTTTTGGTTTATGACCAAAAGCCATCCTCAAATGATTTATTTATCATTTATACCCATTGGCTACAAAGTTTTAAGATAACAGCCATCACAAATATGTATACAAAGATAAAAAGAGAACTGTCCTTAGTAATATCTTTAAGTCTTAAATAATAGCAGAGTTAAATATATCTGCTTCCATACAGACTTCCTTGATTACTGAGGTGAGGAAATGTTAATTTAATACAATGGAGGAATATATATAATTAAGTTATCTTAATATTGATTGTGTTCTGTTTGGTTTTCTTTCTAGCATTCAAAGTTTCATGTGGGTTTAACAGTTTGCTTCATTGTTATATTAATGTAGTCTATCAATACACACATATACTGTGGAGTTAGACTGAGCAGGTCCTAATTGTGCCTCCCTCTCTTAAAGCTGTAGGATTTTGAGCAATAAATTTAATGTCTTTATTCCTCAAATTTCTTAATCTGTAAAATTGGAATAATGATATCTACCCCTTTCGAACATTATAAGGATTGAGCATTCTGTGTGTACAGAATTTAGGGCACACAGTAAGTGCTCAACAAATATTGCTATAACAGTACCAGAGGATACCTATGAGCCTTTTCTTACCCAAATACTATTTTATTGTCCCCCTGACGCACATACACATATAAACTATTATTAATTAATTATATTTATGAAAGCATGGTATACATGGGAAATAGAAATAGTCTCTGGAAGGTTTAGACCATTTTCCATAGTAATTAGACTCACCAATTTTACAGGCAACTCCTATTTCTGCATTTAAAATGATAAACGCCTTAAAGAAAAATGCTCACAAAAAGGATTATATTATCCAATAGCTCAAAAAGATTCTTTCTAAAACATGCTTCTATCTCCTTCTTAACATAATAATCTTTGCTTGGGAACTTTTTAGATATTTAATTTGTAACATTTCATCAAGCTGTATTGATTGTATTATATTTTGTAGTGATTTTCTGCAAATTTGTATACTTTGTATCAATTTAATCAATGTCAATCCGCAGACCTGAGAAATATGCTCTCTCATGAAACATGGAAAACCAGTTTACTCATTTGAATGTAGATTTATTCCATACCTGGTACTGCCTTTTATAGTTTTGTTCTATTTTCTTTATGTTCTTCTACAATACATTTCATAAATCTAAATATTTATTGCTTAAATCAATCTAGTTTGACTTGTTACATTAGAGATATTGGATAACTATAGTAACTTGTTTTTAACCTAAAAATATTCTAGGTTTATAACAATTGTTATGAATTAGCAGTTCCTAAATTTGCTTTCAGTGCCATCTGGGTTCTTTAATACGCTTTATTTCTGTGTGCCAAATTGTCTCAGGTCCAGAGATAACAGTCTTTAACTCCACAACTGCCAGCTATCATCCACAAGCCATGTTCTTAGTCGTCTTCTCTGAAGGTGCTCTTGAGAATATCGGTATCAATAAGCTTCTCTCATTTACTAAGTTTACCAAACAATGGACATTCTGGTCTATTAAAGGAGACTTATTAGCCTGTTATCATAAAGCATTATCCAATATGGTGTCCTTACTTTAAGTAATAGATGTATTTGTACTTTAGGTAACAGCCAACGTTTGAAAAAAAAAAGTGATTTTGAATGCAGTAGATGGAACTTGTTATTCAAAGGCTGTGGAGAAGGGTACCAGTTCTGGTCAAAATGGAGTAAGCACACTTACTCCACCCACTTTCTCTCCCTCTGAATGCAGCTAAAAACACTGAACAAAGCATGTAGCAGTTATACAAGGATTCTAAAAAGTAAATGGTAACAGACATATTCGGGGAATAAACCAGAATTCAGAGTACTATTGAACTGGTGGTGAGTTTTCGTTTTGTTTCCTCTCTGGAATCTCTTGGCCTGGACTCATAGACAATTTAACACCAGAATTATAAAATAAGAAAGAGAGAGAAAGCTACAAGAGAAATTCTTTGTTTCTGGAACAAGATAAAGGAAAGGGGACATTTGTGGGTCAGAAGAGTGGACATATGCCTTAGATTTGTTGTTGTTTTCTTCATTCTCTTTTCCCCAATCCCAGCAATCATAAGGTGACAGGTGACGATGGCAGCAACAGTTACAAAGGCAGCTAAAATATCAACCAGAGGAACTTTGGTCCTAAGATCATGGGGGAGAATTCCCATTGTATTTTTTTTTCTCTTAATCCTCTCACCGATTAGCCTTGGAAACAGGTGCAATGTTATGGGAAAATCATAGAAAATATGCAGCACTGTGGGAAAATTAAAACTCTGAGTTTTTAGCCAGAGGACCAGGAAAAGAGGCTTTGGGAAGGTAGAAAATGTAGAGAAGATTGTAGAGAGAAGGGAGTTTGAGAAATCGACCCTATAAAGTTGTCTATAAATTTTCGAGCTCAAAATTAGGCTGTATATGCATGTGTCTGAGCCTAAACAGCATACACCTAAGACAATAAGAAATGAACTATAAGTCAGAACATTACCCAGCTCCCCAACTGGACACTGGGTATCACATATGCAGGAAAAATCTAAAGACAACTGCAAAGACTTTCAAACTTAACTGACATTGGAACAACCAGCAACAGAAGGCAGATAAGAACTTGCATTCTGGACAAAATCTGGTTTGATTACCTGGTAAAACAAAATCTCAACATTCTCCCCAGGAAAATCCTATGTCACTTAACATTCCAGATCCAGAGTTATCTAACATAGTATCCAAATTTCTATAATTTTTTTAGCATATGAATACCCAGAAAAATCTTAATGTCTCACAAGATCCAGGAAAAATCTTAATATTTCACAAGATGCTAACCCAGTATGGACACATATATTGGAATTAATGAATCAAGACTTTAAAGCAGCTATTGTAACCATGCCCCAAGAAGTAAGAGCATACACAATGGAAACAAATGGAAAAATGAAAAAAAAACTGTAGAGAAATAGAAGATACATAAATAAATAAAAAATTTAGAATGGAAAATGCAATGACCAAAACAAAATATTCTCTTAATTAGCTTAAAAACAAAATAAAGGATGACAGATGAAAGATTCCGTGAACTTGAAGATTATAAGAAATTATCTAATCTGAACAAAAGTATGACATTTTTCACCAGCAGATCTGCTCTTTAAAAAAAGAATGCCAAAGGAATGTATTCATATGGAAGGAAAATGGTATTGGAGGGAATCTTGGAACAGCAGGAATGAAGGAGCAGCAACAGAAATAGTAAATATCTGTTTAATATATTTTCTTAAGGTTTTAAAAATATGTATGGTTATTGAAGGAAAAATTTTAACATTGTCTTATGGGGTTCTCAAAAAGGAAAGTGAGTAGAGGGACCTGTAAGTGGTAAGTTTTCTACATTCCACTTGAAGTGGTAAACTATTAATTCAAAATGTATTGTAAAAAATTATATACTCATACTGTAATTTGTAGATCAACCACTAAAACACATACACAATGAGATATAGTCAAAAGTTCAATAGGTAAATTAAAATGGAAAACAAATCAATTCAAATAACTTCAAGGAAGGCAGGAGACGAAAACAGAGGGGAAAAATAGAGAAAACAAACTGGAAACAGGTAATAAAATGATAGATCTAAATACAAATATAACAATAATTACATTAAATCTAAATTGCCTGAAGACATCAGTTAAAAGAGATTGTCAAGGCAGATTAAAAACAAGACTCAGCTATATGCTGTCTATAAGAAACACACTTTGAATACAATGATATAGATAGGTTAAGTGTAAAAGAATGAAAAAAGGTGTACCATGCAAACACCAATCAAAATGAAGCTGGAGTGGCTATATTAAATCAAATAGTCTTGAGAGCAAGAAAATTTTCCAAGGATTAAAGAGGGAATTACATAATGATAAAAGAGTTTATTTTCCAAAAAGACAGAACTATATAAAATGTGTATGCACCTAAGAATATAGCTTTAAAATACATAAAGCAAAAATTGATAAATCTGAAAGGGAAGAGAGACAAATTAACACTTACAGTTGCAAACATCAGTACTTGTCCCTGAGTAACTGATATAACAAGTAGATAGAAAATCTGCAAGGGTACAGAAGAACTATTCTAACAACCAGCTGCATTTAATTGACATTTATAGAACACTCTACCCAACAGCAGCATAATACACATTCTTTTCAAGTGCTTACAATTACAGCAAAATAGGCAATAGCATAGGTCATAAAACCTTTTCTAATTTAAGAGAAATGATAACATACAGTGTTTGTTCTCTGATCATAATGGAATTAAATGAGAAATAAATATAAAAATAACTGAAAAATCTCCAAATAATTGAAAATTAATGCAATTCTAACTAATCCATGAGTCAAAGATAAAATCTCAAGAGAAATTAGAAAATATTTTGAAGTAAATGAAAATATAATCTCAAAATTTGTGGAATACAGCTAAAGCAGCGCTCAGAAAGAAATGTATAGCACTGAAAACCTATATTAGAAGAGAAGAAAGTTTTCAAATGAACAATCTAATCTTCCAGGATTAGAACATTGAGAGAGTGAACTAAACCCAAAACAAGTAAGAGGAAAGATAAAAAGAAATTTGAGCAGAAATCAATAGACTTGGTAATAGAGAAACAGTAGAGAAAAATCGATGACCAAAACCTGGTTCTTTGAAAAGAGCAATAAAATTGATATACTTCTAGTGACGCTGACAAAAAGAAAAAGACTCATATCATCAATATTAGAAATGAAAGGAGGGGCCAGACCAGGTGGCTTATGTTTGTTATCCCAGCATTTTGGGAGGCCAAGGCAGGAGAATTGCTTGAGCCCAGGAGTTTGACAGCAGTCTGAGCAACATAGGGAGACCCCCATCTGTGCAAAAAATAAAATTAGCCAGGCATGGTGGTACATGCCTATAGTCCCAGCTACTCAGGAGGCTGAGGCAAGAGGATCATTTGAGCCTGGAAGACAGGCTGCAGTGAGCCATGATCACACCACTGCACTCCAGCCTTGGCAACAGAGCAAGAAAGGAGAATATCATGACAGATTTTACAGCCATTAAACTGATGATAAGGGAATACTACAAACAATTTTCTCTGCACATATGTTCAACAAAATAGATTAAATGTAACAATTCTTGACAAACTACCAAAACCCATTCAAGAAGAAATATATAAACTGAATCATCCTGTATCTATTAAAAATATAGAATTGGCCAGGCACAGTGGCTCACGCCTATAATCCCAGCACTCTGGGAGGCCAAGGTGGATGGATCATGAGGTCAGGAGTTCGAGACCAGCCTGGCCAAGATGGTGAAACTCCGTCTCTATTAAAAATACAAAAATTAGTCAGGCATGGTGACAGGCACCTGTAATCTCAGCTACTCGGGAGGCTGAGGCAGGAGAATAACTTGAACCTGGGAGGCAGAGGTTGCAGTGAGCCGATATTGTGCCACTGCACTCCAGCCTGGGCGACAGAGTGAGACTCTATCTCAAAAAAAAAAAAAAGAAAGAAAGAAATAGAATTTAGAGTTTAAAACCTTCCAAAAAAATAAACTACAAGCCCAGATGGTTTCACTGGCAAATTCTTTGAAAGAAGATACAACACTAATTCTAAATAATCTTTTCCAAGAAACAGAAGCAGAACAATATCTTCCAACTCATTTTAAGAGGCCAGAATTACCCTAATACAAAAGTAAAACATCATCACAATAAAGTAAAACTATAGTCCAATCTTTTTTATACACATAGATGCAAAAATCTTGCACAGAATACTAGAATATCAAGTCCAGCAATACTTAAAAAGGCTACACATTACAATTAAGTGGGACTGATCTCAGGAATGCAAGTCTGGTTTAGTAGGTAAATATCAATCACTGAAATGTATATTAGCAGATAAAAGAAAAACATGATCATATCAATAGATGCAGAAAAAGCATTTAATAAAAATTTTTATTCATGATTAAAAAAAACTTTTGGCAAACCAGGAATAAGAGAAAACTTCCTTAAACTAATAAAAGACATCTAAAAAAACTTATACCTAACATCATATTTAATAGTGAAAAGCCAAATGCTTTCTCCCTAATATTAAGAATGAGACAAATATTCCTAATTTTAGGAAGGAACTCTAATTCAATATTGTCCTGGTAATCTTAGCCAGTGCAATAAAACAAGAAAAATAAAGACGATACATACAGTGTAGAGAGAGAGAAATAAAAGTGCCCAATTTTCAGCCTTTATAATTGTTTATATAGAAAAAAGAAACCTAAAAAAAAAAAAACTTCTAGAAATAAGTGATTTTAGGTTGTAGGATACATGGTCAGTACTCAAAAATCAAGTGCATATCTAACTACTAGAAATGAGCAATTGGAAACAGAAACTAATAAAGTCAATACCACTTCTAATAGTTCAAAAAAATGTAAATACTTGGGACTAAACCTAACAAACCACATGCAGGATCTGTATATTGAAAACAAAATACCAATAACAGAAACCAAGAAAGAACTAAATTAATGGAGAGGCTTGCTGTGTTTATGAATTAGAAGACTAAATATAGTTAAGACATCAATTTTCTGTAAATTGATCCAGAGATTTCATACAATTCTAATCAAAATCGCAGGAGGACATTTTGTAGATACAGGCAAACTGATTTTTAAATTTAGAAAGAAATGCAGAGTAACTAGAATAGCTAAAACGATTTTCAAAAAGAATGAAGTTGGAAAACTCAGATTGCTTGATTTTAAGACTCACTTTAACATTTCTGTAACCAAAAAATGTGATATTGACAAAGGGATAGACATATAAATTAACTAAACAGAAGAAAAAGCCCATAAATAGACCTACACAACTATGGCGTATTGATTTTTGTAAAGGTTAACAAACAATTCAATGGCATAGGGATAGTATTTTCAGCAAATGGTATTAGAATAAGTGTCTATCTGTGGTTGGTAGAATTCTAAGATGACTCCCAGCATTTTCTGCCCCTCCCCATCCTGATACACATGACTTGCATAATCCTTGGAACTGCAAATATGATGGATTATCTTAATATGACACAGTAGACTTTGAAATAGGAAGATTACCTTGTGAGGCTGACTTAATCACATGAACCTTTTTATAAGAAGAGAGTTTTCTCTGGCAAGTCTTTGAAGAGGAACTCATACATTCAGGAGGATTTGATGCGCCATCATGGCTTAAAGTTGGAAGTGGCTACGTGGCAAGGAATTTTGGAAGCCTCTGGGAGCTGGGAATAATACCTGGCTGACAGCCAGAAAGGAAAAGGGAGCCATAGTTTACACCTCAAGGAAATGAATTCTGCCCACAAGAAGAATGATATTAGAAAGATTTTCCTCCAGAGCCTCCAGACAAGAACCTAGCCTAGCCAGTACCTTCATTTCAGCCTTGTGATATCCTAATCAGAAAATCCAGTCACATTATGCCAGAGATCAGACCTACAGAACTGGGAGCTAATAGGTGTTGTTTTATGCTGCTAAGGTTTGGTAGTTTGTTACACAGCAATAGAAACCTAATACAATATCCGTAGGCCAAAAAATGAACCTTGACTTAAACCTCAGAACTTACAAAGAAATTGACTCAAAATGGATCATAGATCAAAATATAAAACTATAAAACTTCGAGAAAAAACATAAGAGAAAGTATTTATGACTTTGAATTAGGCAAAGGATTCTTAGATATTATATGAAGAACATCATCCATAAAAGAAAAAATCATGAAAATACCTTACTTTGCCAAAACACTGTTCAGAGAATGAAAATACAAAGCTACACACCTAGAGAGAATACATTGCTGGTGGGAATCTAAAATAATACAGCCAATCTGTAAATCACTTTAGCAGTGTATTATAAGGTAAAAATACAATTACTATATGACCCAGTGTCTTAGTTTGTTTTGTGCTGCTATAACAGAATACCTAAGACTGGAAAACTTACGAAGAACAGAAATTTATTTTCTCCCAGTTCTAGAAGCTGGGAAGTCCAAGATAAAGGTGCCAGCAGGTTTAGTTTTCTGGTGAGGGTGGTTCTCTGCTTCCAGGATGGCACCTTTATGCTGCCTTCTCTGGAGGGGACAAACACACTATGTCCTCACATGACAGAAGGTGGAAGAGCAAGAGGGACAAACTTCCTCCTTCAAACCCTTTCATATGGGCACCCAATGTCATTCACTTTCCAAAGGCTGCAACTCCTAATATTGTTGCATTGGGGATTAAATTTCAATGTGAAATTTGGAGGGGACAAAAAACATTCAAACCATAGCACCAAGCATTCTCTCTCCTAGGCATTTACTGTAGAAAGTAGAATGGGGGTAATAACAGCATCTATCTCTGGAGATTAAATGTATAAAGATTAAATGGGAAAAGATACATGTTAATGTCCTTTGAGCAGTGCTCAGCACTCATAAAATAATCCTATTTTAACTTATAGCTTTGATTAGAAATGTCAGTGAATTATTTATATAGAGAGAGCACTTTCAGAATATGTTGAGATAATCATACAGTTTTCTTCTTCTTTTAATTTGTTAGTATGATGAAATATGTTAATAGATGTCCTGATACTGAATTATCCTTACATTCTCAAGATAACTATTTTTCCCTAAAATTTTGTATGTATAATAATAAATTTGAATTAGTCTTATAGTTTTCTTTTTCCCTTTGTGGGGAGGGAGCTATCTTTACTGGGTTTAGGTATTATTAAGGATATGCTATATTCATAACATGAACTAAAGGCTTTTCCATTTTTTCATATTCTGAAATAACATAATATAGAAATAATCTAGTCTTTAAAACCTAGATCAAAGTCAACTGTGAAGCCCTCTGATTCCTTCAGTCATTTTTAATGGTGTGTCTTCTGTCACCTTTCTAGTGTCTCCTATGTTAATTTGTGTATTCAAGGTAAAATTGTCATTTGTAGCTAAAAAATGGTCAAGTATTGCCAATTTCGTATGGTTCAACCTAATAGTAAAATAAATATCGATATGCCCTTAACCTAGTTTCACCCATTATTAATAAATTGCTCACTTCGCATTCTTGCCTTTCCATATATATACATAATATGCATATATATTAAATATAATTATGTGAATGGTTTTTAATTTGTTGCTTTTTCACTGAACCATTTGAATGTGAGAATAGTCATCACATGCTTCTTATCTAAATATTAAAGCATGCATCTTCTAAGAATGAGGACATTCTCTTAGATAACCAAAGTACCGTTATTGCACCTAGAAATAAGGACATTCTCTTTGATAACCAAAGTACCATTATTGCACCTAGAAATAAGGACATTCTCTTAGATAACCAAAGTACCGTTATTGCACCTAGAAATAAGGACATTCTCTTAGATAACCAAAGTACCGTCATTGCACCTAGAAATAAGGACATTCTCTTAGATAACCAAAGTACAGTTATTGTACCTAGAAATTTTTTTAACAATTGACAGTATTATCAGTACATATTTAAATTTTTCCAGTTATTGCAAAAACTTATAAGATATTTTAAAATTCAGGATCCAATCAAGATAATGTGTTGCATTTGGTCTTTTTTTTTTTTTTTTTTTTAGTCTTTTTAATCAGTTTTTCCTTCTTTTTTGTTTTTTCAGAAGAAACCAGGTCAGTTGTTTCATACACTATTCCACACCCTGGACTTGCTTTTTTTCCCACAGCAACAATTAATGTATTCTTTTCGGTGCTATATTTCCTGTAAACTAGAAATTAGGTCAAGGCTTGAAATTCAGGTTGAATATTTTTGGCAAGAATATTCATCGATACTGTTGTGTGCTAATGGGCACATGAGGTCAGGTTGTTCCACCATTGGTAATGCTAAGTTTGTTCATGTGGTGACAGTGTTAACCTCAGTTGCAAAGGTATATTTTTACCTTTGTAATTAGTTTTTAATCTGTGGGAGGATACTTAAGGACAGTATAAATATCCTGTTTCTAACAATCTTTTACCCACTGTTTTTAGCATCCATCAATAATCATCATCTGATTCGACTATTACATTTAGGATGATTCAGTTTCCTATTAAATTGAGTTTCTTGATTATGTTACTCAAATTGTCTGTATCTTTACCTATATTTTTACTAGATGTGTCAGATTCTGAAAGAAGTACATTAAATTTCCCAGTGTAATTTTTTGTAATCAAGGCCTTACATTTCTATATTATTAATCATATATATTACTAATTGTATGTATATATTTGCCAATCATATCATGTTGAGAGGAAATACTCAAATTTGCCTTTGCGTTACTCTGATATGTCTTATCCCAAAAGTAAAACTTAAAATGGTCATATCCTCCATATATGTTCATACGCTTCTTTCATTCTCTAGTCCTGGTAATGTGGAAACCTATAATGTAGTGTGAAAGCAATATAGAAAAGTCCTTTTTGTAAGCATTAAGCAGGGGGAACTTCCCCTTTTCTCCTTTATTTTTGGTTATCGGTGAACTAGTACTGCTTTGAAACAGATTTCAGTGTTTTGATTACATTATTTAATTCCCTGGGATCCTTAACTTCTCTTTTAAAACATAAAGCCTTATGTTTTAATATATTACAGTCTTTTACTTACTAGTATGTGTTTTAAACATTAATGAAACTGTTTTAAAAAATGACTGTGTAAAATCCAAAAAGTTGCAATGAAACACCCATTTTGCATCTACCCTGAAGATTAATTGTGTAACCAATATATGAGATTTTAACTAAAGTTTTTAAAAATAAGTGCTGGATTCTACCAAAAAGGATCACTTGGAAGAAACTGCTTAAGACAGGGAATTGCCCATTAGAGGCAAAATATGCTTTAATGCAGATTTCATTGTACTCAGTACAGATAGCTGTTTTGCAAAAACACTACAGAAATGTTTGGATGAAAATTAGCTCTTCTTTTCCTCTTTTTTTTTTTAATAACACTCTTGCCAGTGCTAGATTTGCAGTAGAGATTGTAGTTGGCCAGTAATGAAGCTGCCCCGTGTTTGGAGATGATTCAAAAGCATCTCCAATGGTTTTCTTCTTGGTGGCACTGTCTGTCTGCTTTTCTTTGATTACCTATAGGATGCAATTTGAACATTAGGGGTCACTTCATGTCCCCTCAGGCCTCCTTTCTCTCTTCTTCTCCGGCATAGCACCCACACATGAGTCCCCCTAAGGTAAACCATTCTCTTTGTTGAGAGAGCTCAGCTGCAGTGCTGGGAGTGGGTTGGCTGAGCCCATGTGATGGCCATCACAGCCTGCTGTGGATTTCTTCACCTACCCCTCTGGCTATGCTGCCTCCACTGCAGCCTGTGTCCATGTGGGCTGCAGTTTATTCTGACCTAGCCATCAAAAGAAGCCTACCCTTTTTTAATTCACTGTCACCATGGGTCTATTCAATTTTGTATAGCACTTTTGTCATTTCAGTGGGATTCTCAAAGGAAAGGAGGATGGCATGTGTATGTTTCAAACAGTAATCTTTACTTTTCATTAAATAGGAGGCATTTGAGCAGTGTTTAATTTTTATGAGGGTAAAATAATACATGCTTGTTAACTAAAATGAGAAAACCAGAAAATTATTTTAAAAAATAAAATTCACCTGAAGTCCTTTCACACAGAGATAATTATTATTAACACTTGAGTACGTTTTTCTAAAGTCAATTTTATTGGCTCTGTAAAATTCAGATATTCTATTTTTTTACTTAAAAATAGCATGACCACTTTCTAATCTTATTAGCTATCTTTTGAGTTTATGTTTTCAAGAACTGAATAACAAACTAATATAAAAATTATTTATTTAAATTTGTATTAAAGCATATCAGACTAGAATAATTTTTATGTTACAATATATAAATTATATGTAATTTATATATTATATTTATCTTATTATTTATATATTTATATATTATATTTACATAATATAATAAATATGTATATTATATAATATATATTAAATTATATATTTATATATTATAATATATAATATAATATGTATATTATATATGTATTTATATATGTTATATTATATATACATATTATATATGTGTGTATATATACATATATGTATATATATTATATGTATATATGCATATATGTATATATATGTATATATACATATAATATATATTATATATATTATATAATGTATATTATAATATATATACATGTAATATATATTATGTAATATTATATTATATGTTATATAATTATATATTTATATAATTATATATTTTATATATATAATTATATATATATAATACATATAATTATATATGTAAATATATAATTATATATATAAAATATATATAATTATATATAAATATATATAATTATATATACTTGTATAATTTTTATTTTATATAATTATTTTATATAATTATATTTTATATAATTATATAATATAATTATATTTTATATAATTATATAATATAATTATATTTTATATAATTATATTATATAATTATATTTTATATAATTATATAATTATTATATTTTATATAATTATATTTTATATAATTATATAATTATAATTATATTTTATATAATTATTTTATATAATTATATTTTATATAATTATATAATTATTATATTTTATATAATTATATAATTATTATATTTTATATAATTATTTTATATAATTATATTTTATATAATTATATAATTATTATATTTTATATAATTATTTTATATAATTATATTTTATATAATTATATAATTATAATTATATTTTATATAATTATATAATTATAATTATTTTTATATAATTATATTTATATAATTATATTATATATTATATAATTATAATTATATTTTATATAATATATAATATATAATTATATTTTATATTATAATATAATTATAATTATATTTTATATAATTATATAATTATAATTATTTTTATATAATTATATTTATATAATTATATTATATATTATATATCATATTATATATTATAATTATATAATATATATCATATTATATAATTATAATATATAATTATATTTTATATAATTATATAATTATAATTATATTTATATAATTATATAATATAATTATATTTTATATAATTATATAATTATAATTATATTTTATATAATTATATAATTATAATTATTTTTATATAATTATATTTATATAATTATATTATATATTATATATCATATTATATATTATAATATATAATATATATCATATTATATATTATAATATATAATATATATCATATTATATAATATATTATATAACATAATATATTATAATTATATATAAAATAAATTTTAATTCAAAATTATTTACATTTGTATTAAAGCATATTATACTGGAATAATCTTAGACTATTATAAATGATACTGTGATTATTTTATTCATGTAAAATTATTATATCTCTAATTTCTTTCTTAGGATAGATTCTTAAAAATGGAATTAGAAAGTCAAAGGGTAGAATATGTTTTAAAGTTCAAAATACATTTTGCCAAATTGCTTTCCAACAAGGTTGAATTAACTTAAACACCAGCAATGTAATCTCTTCTTTCCTTGGTGGCTTTCCAGTTGTTTTCTTATTACTCCATGATAATTGCATGCTTTTGAGGATGCCTAACAATTTTCTAAAACTTTGTCCTGATTCCAGAAGCTCATTTTTTCTGGGTCTGCAGGAAGATGTTCCTTTTTCCTCATTCAGTAAAACATCTTGATAAGCTTTGTGTTAATTTTCTTGTCTTTGCTAGTACTTGACTATAGAGAAATCTTTCCAGACTCAGTATTCGCCAATGGACAGGTGTGTGGATTGCCCCTGGCTCCCCTCAATGCTCATCTAGTTGTTCATCACATTCTTTTCTTGGAGCCATAGCTAGAGGTCAGTTTGCAACATTTATTACCCAGGGCCCAGGATCTAGCAAACATTCATCTTTCGAGCTATGCCCTATTTGCACAGAATTTTCTGCTGTCCTTACCACTTAGTTTCCAGGCTGTCTGGCCAATGAAGCACATTCTACTCCTGGGATCTCCACCCATGGCTACCATTTTACTAATGGGACACTTAGTCCCACGGGATGCAATATGCCTTTGAAAATGCCATCCTCCATCCCCCATTCTTTCCTTCATTCATTCACATTTATTCAGCAAATATTAATTAAGCTTCTACTGTGTGCCAGCCAATGAATAAAGCATAGAGCAAGAGACAGAAATAGAACATAGAAATCCCTGCCTTTGTGTAGCTGACACTACATCCCTAATTCACCTTTCATTCCTGCCCTATGATGTGTTGTCATAGGTTTTTTGGTCGATACAAGCACGTGTTCTTCAAATTGGGGTAGACAGCGGGGCTATGAACAAAGTATGTTTCTGCCATCTTTAGACAGACAACGATGCTCTATTCTCCTGTTTGCTTTTCTCAAAATAACCATTGTCAGCATTATGAGTATTGAAAACTCCTGTGATATTCCACACAAGCTTGTCCATTGCATAGGGTTTTCCGTAGTATTGGAATTGTTTGCCTTTTCTGGGCCTTGAAATGGATTTTAGTAGGAAGTTAGCAGGAACACCATTAGGGAATACTAACTGGAAACCATTTCAAATAGTGATACAAGTCATTTGCAAAAAACAACTTGCCCTGTTTTATTTTTTTAAGGTTAACTTTAAGGCAATGGTTTTCAGAGAGAAAATTATTCTACTGGCAACAAAAGAAACACAAGACTATAGGAGTAAATGTATTTTGTAAAATTAATGATATAATAGTATTGTTTTTGATGTTGTGTGTTTTACTTAATACTTTTGCTTCCAGTTCTCAACACAAACATTTGGCTAGGAATTTTTTTCAGTCACTGAGCCAAATTCTCAGTCTGCATAACCCAGTAGGGCACCAAGGTGAAATGGAAATCTGGCCTGTGTTTACGTCTTCACAATTAATTTCTCATTGGGTTGTGCAGTGTGTCTTATAGCTCCCAATGCATGCTGTAAAAATAAATAACAACTTTATAACTTCGGCTTCCTCCAAGTATATTTGCAATAGATGAGGCTTAGAGGGGGATAAGGTGGTAGTTTCAAGTATGTGGTGCATGTCACAGGGAAACAGGAAGGCAGAATATTGATCATGGCTTTCAACACATGTGTCTCTGGGAATCACTTTGTCACACATATAACCCTCTTCTAAACATGCATGTGAGTACATACACATATGATTGTGTGCACACATGTGTGCATGCACACACACACACACACACACATACACACCTACCTTATATCTCAGCCATATTGAAGCATTTTAATTTCCCCCAAATGTGCCACACCACCTATTTCTTCTTCCATGCCTCACACTAAGAGTCAGTCATCTCTCCTGAGAACCTTTTACCCATCAGCAGCCTCCTGCCCCAGCTAAGGTACTTTCCTGCTTTGTACTCCCACCGCATTCCCACATTTCCCATCCTGATAGATCACACCCCACAGAAGTAACTCATGGTTCACTAATGGATCTGAATGACAACTTTCCACCTTAGACTGTGAGACTCCTGAGGGTAAAAGTGAGGTCTGGACCTCTTCCCTCTGTCTCTCAGCTGTTAGCACAGTGCCTGGCACCCAGTAGGCATTCAGGGCCTTTAGGAGCTGCTCATCAATCATCCCGAAGTGCCCTAACCCATTTACCTTCCCACTCTGCTGAGCAACAGGTTCCAACTTTCTCTCCTCAAGCCCCCATAACCCCTTCCCCAGCCTTCTCTTTAAGCAGATCATCTTTCCAATTCGTAAGAGAATAGAAACAGTCAGAAGATAACTTCCACGAGGTCCCCAGTGTATCTACCTCCTGCATCAGTTTCCTTAAACTCCACCTTCCACCATATTACAACCGACAAACTGGCCTCACTCCAGTTAGGGCCCCCCCTTCTACTTGCCTGTTAATCATATCCTCTCTACTTATTGGAAGACATTACTCCAATATTTGTCTCTTTTTTTCCCTCATATCATTATTTTGTCCTTTTCACTGGATAATTTAAAAACCCAGATTAATTACTTTTATTTTTTAAAATAAAACATTTCTCTCCAGCTACAGCCCCATTCTCTGCTGTCCTTTACAGCAAAATCCTTCAAAAGAGCTATAATTCATAGTGTCTACCAATCCTTTCTTCTCACTCTTTCTTAAACTTACTCTGAGCAGTCTGTAGCCCCATCATTCTACCAAAGCTGTTCTTGTTAGTCTTGATACTCCCCTCAGCGTTGCTAAGTCCAATGGTCAAGCTTCACTTTGCATTTTATTGGACAATCAAAAACTTTTAACATAATTGATCTTACTTGAAACACTTTCTTCACTTGGATTCTAAGACACACTCCACCTAATTAATCTCATACCTCCCTGGCCACCTATTGGCTAGTGTATATGCCAGTTTTTGCTGCAGGAACTAGTCCTAATATCACAATGGTTTACAACCATAAAGATCAGTGTTTTGTTCAAATTCCATAAAGGTATGGTGTCAGCTACAGATCTGCTTGACTCTGCTGGGTTCATCTGCAGCTCAGCTCGGCTTGACTCTGTTTGGAGCTCTGTGCCATCTGTTTTCTCACTCTTAGACCCAGGCTAAAGGAGCAGTCCCATCCGTAGCATGCTATTCTCTTGTAGCAGAGGAAAGGAGCAAAAGGATTGAAACTCCCAAAGTTTCCAAGAGCTTCTGCTGGGACATGGCATGTATCATGTCTACTCACATTCCATTGGTCAAAGTAAACCTGTGAATCACATCTCCTATGTGAAAGGGGTAATAAGTTGTTTGTCCTCATCTTAAGCCCATGAGATGTGGCTTCAGTGAGACCATTGACAAGTTTCATGCATGTCCTCAAAGGACTGGGGAACCCCGTGATATACTCACTGTCTGACTCACATCTAAGAAATCTAAGGTGTCAAAAACTAGCTGAAGTGGTCTACAACAGCAGAGTGAGCCACAGCTTGAGAAGTTCCTACATTCCCACCAAGAATGTATCTAAAGAGTGTGTTTCCTATTGATTGACATGTGTGATATAATGGAGAGAGCCTCTGTGGAGGTGGCTTACTTTCTGACCTAGAATGTTACCTGAAGGGGTGAGAAGATCACAGCAGAGGAAAACCGGGGCTATGGAGTTAGATGTTCAGGGGCCAAGGCAGTGGTGGATGGACACACAGTCCATATCAGGAAACTGCCCATCAGAGGGCCCAGGGGTAGACGGAACCCTGAAGAGACCTCACAAATGCCCACATGGGCCAGCTTCCAACATCCACCACAGCCAAAGGGAAATATGCCACATTCATGCCAATTGAATGAAACCTTTCTTTCCCATTTACCTCTTCCTTTTCCTCTGTCCCCTCACCTTGGAGAAGTCAAGCTAGCAACTAGGAATGGGGTAAGGAAGAGAAGGAAAATAAGAAGATTGCCCCTTCACCCCTGGTGGCAGGCCCAAGCTGATGGGGTAGGAAGACTCACTCCAGCTGAAATTTAGGGATTGTTATTATTACATATTACTAAGCTGAGACTATTTATGTGATTAGAAGTCACCAGAGGACTTAAAAATAAACTATCTGAGACTATTAAAAAGTCAAGGACCCCGCTCCAGAGTCTGAAAAAGTAGGTATGTACGTGTGTGTTGGGGAAAGGTGGGGCATGATAAAGTTATTTCTTTTGCACTCCATGAACCACATTTGTTCCAAGTGGCCTAGGCTGCTGTGCCATTACCTGGGCTGGTTGCATCTGCCTGGGCTTCATGATAGGAAGAGGTTGCACTTCAACTTTGTGGAAACCTGGCAACTTCATTAACATCTCCGACTATGAGAATATAGGAGGCTAGAATCTTAGTTTACAATTGGCTGGCCTCACATTTGACCCTGTTTACATAAAGGAAATCTAGGCATCTGGCCAATTTAGGACCAAACAATTTCGTAGCTGGGGTGTTGAGCTTCATTTCCTTCTTCATTTATAAATGCAGTTGAAGCTGATTCCAAAGCATTTTTAGGAAGTCAGTAAAAACATTTAGGCGTCACTACTACTGTTTTATTAAATTTCATCTGTTGTTTTGACCTTGCTTGTGTTTAAATACGGAAATAAAAATCTGGGTGTGGCCGTGGGGGAGTGAAGGGATGTTAAGTCATTACACCACCTACTTATCCAGTCAGGAAACCCCAAGCCACTGGTCCATTTCCTGCTTTAGTAAGCCAAGGAATGCAATCGTGTCATGTGTGTGACTAAGGGTAACATGACTCAGGTTAAGAACTGGGTCTATTGAATTTGTTTCCTGGCCAAGAAAACTACAATTCAATTGCTACTAGAGTTAAATGGAAAATATATACTTTTGCCTTCATTAGAGCTATTGCTACTTCTAAAGAATTGTTGGGAACATAAGATCAAACTTAAACATGATAGCATAAGTTCTACTTATTGTGAATTAGGACAGCCCTTGGGAATATTGCCTTTTATTCCCAGCTCTACGTATGCTTTGTGTTGGACCTTAGACATCATACCTCTGTCCTTACACATGAAAAAGAGACTATTGCTAGTCAACACTCAATACCAGGCAAATTAAAAATGCTCATTTAAACACAGGGTAGACTACTATGATCCCTTACCTGTGGATTTATTTGTTTATCTAGTTCTTCATTTCTTAAAATGGTACCCTTCACAGAAGCACCTCAGGGTACAAGCAGCACATTAAAACAGTAATTAAAATAGATAAAACATTACAAAACAGCAATTAAAGGAGCAGCAAATGAGATTACGTCTTAAAACACTATTATGCTGAAAACCTTTAAAAAAAAAAACTGTTCACCTTATCAGTATAGCAGGCACATGGGCAAGGAGGGGAGAGCCTTTGTTGTGGCTTTGAGAAGTCACAAATGGAAAACATGTGGTGAGACAAATGATTTTAAACCTTGCCTCTCAATGTAATTTTGTATCTCAAATGTAATATTCTGGCCCCCAGCCCCCACACCCCCAAGCCCTAATCTGTTCCCCTACAGGGGTGGCTTGTTTTATACCATACCTTAATGTGTCTCTTTAGCCAGAGCAGGCTACAGAGGATTCAAAAGACTCTTTCTTTCCCAGAGGCTGTAAATGGAGTCCTTAGTCATACTTTATGTAGCTCAAATGGCAGTTGATCATGCTTAAGTACTAGAAACAATCAAAGGACCATAACCTCAGAGAACATTCTTCCAACTTAGTAGGAAAATCTTTGTCATTCATCCCTAGCTCCCACCCCACCGGGCCCCATGGGCTGGCAGTTTTCTTACACAACATCATGTCCTCTCCCATCTTGTTTTATGCCTAAGCAAGCCTTTGTTCGTCTCTACTAACTGAACTCACCAGTCCCATTTCACTTTCTAGTGCTAATAACGCTTACTTGCAACATGTGAGTTTATTTATTTATTTATTGAGATGGAGTTTCACTCTGTCACCCAGGCTGGAGTGCGGTAGCACAACAATCTTGGCTCACTGCAACCTCTGCCTCCCGGGTTCAAGCAATTCTCCCTCCCTCAGCCTCCCAAGTAGCTGGGATTACAGGCACCCACTACCACACTGGGCTAATTTTTATATTTTTAGTAGAGACGGGGTTTCCCTGTGTTGGCCATGCTGGCCTTGAACTCCTACCTCAGGTGATCTACCCGCCTCAGCCTCCCAAAGTGCTGGGATTACAGGCATGAGCCACCGTGCCCAGCCCATGTGAGTTTAAAGTTAGAATTTACATAGGTAGCAAGCAATTTGCAAAAGCCAACAATGCTATAATTGTCCAGTTTTTAAACATGTGAGAGCTTGGTGAGCATTCTGACCTTGGGAGCTGAAAATATATTGTCTGTTTTATTGACATGAGGGCGTATCTCCACTGAGATGCTGCTCTGTAACAGTACATGAGTCCTTTCAGAAACTGTTTTGTAGGAAGCCCATCTTGTTTGTATAAAATTGTTACTTTATACTCATTTTGCTCTACGTTGATCTTAAAGGGTGGAGCTCCACTGTGCAGGCACCTTCCTCAGCAACCTGTCTCCCTCTCCTATTTCAGTAAGGCCAAACCACCCAGAATGGTTGGATTGATGAGTGGGTGGGTGGATGGATGGGTAGTTAAGGGATGGGTGGTTGGGCTGATGGGTGGGTGGAAGGATGAATGGGTAATAAGGGTATGGGTGGTCAGGTGGGTAGAAGGATGGATGGGTAATTAGGGGATGGGTGGTTAAGTGGGTAGGTGGCTGGATGGATGGATGAGTAGAGATGGATGGATGAGTGGATGGATGGATGGATGGATGGATGGATGGATGGATGGATGGATGAATGAGTAAATGACACACTGCCTAGAAGGTATTTTAAAGGACACTTTACATATGGCCAAATTGATAGTACAGGGCGGAGATGGGGAACTCTGAGAGAAGGGCCCTCAAGGAGGCTGGCATAGAAAACAGAAACCACAGCCCATCCAGAGCACACATTGATCACTTCAATATAACTCTGCATTGAAAGATAACAAGGTTTTTTTCTTCTGGAAAAAAAAAAAAGTGCAGATACTGGCTGATGTGAAATTAGCAATCACAGTCTTAGGTTGTCCTAAATGCTTGAAGGATGCATATGTTTAACTGCCAAGATGCCTTTGACTAACTCTTGGGTTCTTGATAAAAGTAGAGAGACCAATGTCTAGTAAGAAAGTGACTATAATTACCTGCTAAGGTATCTGATGCAGTAGGAATATTAGTTTGTGTTAAAAGTGTTTATCTGAGGTTTTCTGTGAGGATCCCACGTTATTCATAAGTACACTTCCCACCCTCCCTGGCATAGCTCCACACCCTTTTTCACATGGCCTGAAATTCCCTTTAAAGCTCCAGAGAGTACCTAGAATATCCGTTAAGCAGATATTCTACCACAAAGTGGAGGAAGGAGTTGAGGAAAGAGTCAAGAGGAATTCTAGCTCATTCCATTTACTCATGAATACTCATGAGATTCTCAGTTACTGTTTACCACTTTGGCAAACAAAAAGTAGGGCCCTGAGAAAATGCAACTTAGAATGGGTAAGTTTTGATGAAAGGGAGGAAGGTTGGAAAGGTGAGAATGATAAAAGAAAAAAACTGGGTTAACAAGAATATGTCAGCACAGTAAGATCCTAGAGAAGAGTAAGCCTGTCTGAAAGGGCACAGCACAGAAAATGGACAAACTTCCTGATGTCACCAAATAAAGTTGCCCTCAAGTCAGTAAATAGAATTCTGAAGAACAGCATCTTTAAATCTGTAGTTTTAGACCAAGCTCTGTAGAATAACAATGCCCCAAAGTTATGCCAGGCTTGCTTTAAAGCCTCTTGTCCATGAATATATTTAAACGGCTTCAGTTTTACCAGCAAAGCTCCTTTGGGGTGTACACTGTTCAAGTGGCTTTCTACCACCAAGCTGTTTATCATTTTGTAATTTCACATCAAAGAGAGTATCACTACATTCAGTAAAGACCTGCATCGGTAAGCAAAGGCTTGCTGTGGCCCTTGGCTAACACAGACAGGCTCATATACAGCTTCATTTACCCGGTGGGATACCCTGTGGAACATGAAGAGCATCGTGAGCCATGCGGGCTTTGAGAGCAAAGACCTGGAGGCACCTCACTGTGGATGACCTGTATCTCATCTCTGCCTTGTGAAGTCATGGAGCCTTCATGTATATGACTTGTCCCCCTAGTTAGGGGCCAAACTCCTTGAACCACGTTAGTCTTCCCCGTAACCCCGACTCTCCTCATTCTCCAGAGCACCCAGTGAATAGGGTGTTTCCCCTTACTCTGCCAATCATAAGCAAAAGGGAACCCTCCCAGAACTCAAGCAGCATTAGCACAGTGGAGATTAAAGATACCATTCAAATGCCTTAAAGGACTTTGTTGATTTCCCACAGGAAACATTATAAATTGCTGTGTTTTCAGCACTTGTAAAATCCCTAGGTGGGTCTCCCTGCAGAAGAGAGGGGCAAACAAAAGTCACAAAAATTCTCAGCCACCGTCAGCATATGCTCCTTGTGTTTTCTGCACCATTCACTCTTTCTTAACTGTCCCTTTCCTGCTGTAAGCACAGTTTGAATGTGGTTTAAGTGAGCATGAAAACAATGTAGTATGCATTGGTTAATTCTGCTGCTCTGGAAAACCAACAATGTCAGAGGCAGGCTGAATTCAGCCCCAGGGCAGTCTCTGAACTCCTGAAGCAATAAAACTGCTGAGGGCTTCATTTTAAGGCCCAGAGGTTGGTGCCTGAGCTTTAGAAGGGCCACCTCTGCCTCTGACATGACTAACTTCTGCTTTATCCTCATGGCCACACATTCCACTGAACCACCTCCTTCCCACCTGCCAGAGCCCTTAAGAGGCTACTCCAGCCTCCTCTCAGAGCCCAGGTCCTTGTGTTCTTTGCATCTCTCTTTTCATTCGTTGGGTGCTCTGGAGAATGAGGGGAGTTGGGGGGATACAGGGAAGAATGACATAGTCCTAGGAGTCTGGCCCCTAACTAAAGGGATAAGTCATATGTGTGAAGGCTCTGTGACCTCTCAAGCCAGGTGTGACAGGTAACCCACAGCGAGATGCCTCCAGGTCTTTGCTCCCAAAGCCCCCATGGCTCAGGATGCTCTTCTTGTCCCACTTCTTCTTCTTACCCTGCCTTCTACCTGGTGCTCAGTGTGGTGACTTCTTCTCCACGGTCCTTTCCTCATCCGTCTGAGAACTGAGCCCTTGCTCCCTGTGCCCCACTGTACTCTGAAAGTACAATGAGCTGAGCCAGAGGCAGCATGGGCTCAAGGCTAAGAAGACCGGCTCAGAGGCAGTCTAAGCAACAGAATGCTAATCCTGGGTCCTCCCCTTCTTAGCTGTGTGACTTCAGGCAAGTTATTTCACCTTTCTGCACATCTGCTTCATCATCTTCAAAATGAGGGCAATAGCACCTACTGCACATGGTCACTGAGGAGGATTAACAGAGTTAACCCAGGGAAAAGGCCCAGAATGGTGCCTAGCAAGCAATAAGTGCCTAGAATTGTCATATATTATAGGCTGTCACTCTTAGTAAGCTGTATGATTCTCCAGGGTACAGACACTGCTCATTTATCTTTATAACCCCGTCACCTGCAGCTGGGCATGAAGTAGACAAGCATACAAGTTTAATGCTGAAGAATTAAAGAAATGAATAAATGACCAAATCAACAAATGAACAGACCTTAGTAAGAACACAGGAAGCAGCATATTATTGCAGCAAAAGCCCTGGGCTCTTGGATCCATGAAGACCTTGAGTCCTCTTGGGCACTGACATTCCTGGAGTTGGTGGGGTGTGGCTCTGGAGGCAGCATAGGCAGCTGAGGTCCCCTGGGCCAGTCACTGGTAACTCGGGTCCACTCCCCACTCAAGAACCATGTGGCTTGAGCAATCCCCAAACTTGGTTTCCTTTGCTGCCAAAGCAGGCACTGGATGGAGCAGAGAGCCCCATACCCTGTGGGTCTTTCCAGACTGAGAGCTTAGCAAAGTAGAATATTCTGACTCTGCCCTGCGACACACTGATTCCACTGTCTGGGATGGGATAGGGCATCTGTGTTTTTAAAAACCTCCCCAGATGATGGTGAATCTCAGGCACAGGTTTGGGAATGACTGGACTAGATTTCTCAGGCTGGAATGGGGAGAAGGCTTCCCCCACACTCCTCTTCCAACTTCCACCACACACATACACACACACAAACACACACACACACGCCAGGGAGATCCTTGATGGAACCTGTCTCCACACTGTTCCTTAAACACAGAACTCTGGGCACTGCCAACTCCCACATAAGCCTATGCTGCTCTTTGAGGGGAGTGGAGAGTTGGGGCCCCCATTTTGAGACTGAGCTCCCCACTGCCTCCCCTACCAACCGCCCTGACACACATGACAGGCAATAGAATCAACTACCACCTGTGATTGATCCATGCTAGCTATAAACTGTTATGGACCTGGTTAATTGTTTTGCCTGTATAAGCACATTTTGTTTCATCCATTTTTCAAGCTGAAGGAAAGTTGTTTTATAAAAGGGGATTTAATTAAATGTTTTGTCCCAGCCTGGCCTTTCCTTTCTGCATCTGCATTATGCTTGTGTCATATTTTCCCTAGAGGGTAGGAAAACAATTTAGTAAAAATGAAGGATTCATTGATTTACTATTGAAAAAGGAAATGCCAAGCTAACAACTCCCCTCTATAATTTTCTAGTGACCATATGAGAGAGCCTAGCCATTTAACTTAAAGACAGTGTGTTTCCTGGTGCACCTGGCTCTATCTATACCATTCATGCTGTTAAGTTTATAGTCTTGCTCTTGATTGAAATCATTTCATGAACACTCATAAGCGCTATTTTTCTTCTCTGAACGAAATAGATGTTCCTGGGTAACTAAGGTCTTTAATTGTTTCTACTGCCAGTTTAGTGACTGGGGGTGGGGAATTATTCTTTCCCCAAGACCCTAACAGTAGGATCATAACATGTCTCCCATCATTTAACTGTAGCTCTCCCTCTGCGTATAGAATTTAAGTTGACCTACTTTCCTGCCTGTTGAGCGGCCTCGGGCCTCTAACGTTCTTCTAGTAGATATCAGCTGTTTTCTGAACTAAAGTCTTAGATCTTTAGTGCAATACACTATCGTGCCTCAAAGGAAGCAGGACGCAGTAATAGTCTGAGGGACCTGGGTATGACAGGGCCCTTGCTGGGCGCCACTTCCTCTAGCCATCCTGTGTCCACTGACGACCGTTGTGGGATCTGAGCCTGTCTGGCCAAGGACCAGGGCAGTTCTGGAAGCAACCTTCATTCTGAGGGGAGAGGGCTTGCAAGCAAACAGAGGAAGGAATGTGGGACTAGGAATCAAGAAAATACAATTTGCCATAGGAGCACTGTATCTTTGGGCCAATCGTGTCACTTCTGGAAGCTTCAGTGTCTCTTCCAGTGCAGTCTGTGATTCATTCATTCAAAATGTATGGAGCCCCTGCTATGGGGCACCCACTGTGGCTGGGACAATAGTGGGGAACTCAAGTAGACCTAGTCCTGCTGACATGAAGGGCCAAGTCTGGTGGGGGAAATAGGTTGAATCAACTCTTCACAAAAATGTGAGATGTTAATACTCCAATAAGAGCTTTACATGAATGGTGCACAATGGTTTGAGATGTAACAGGGAAATCTAGCTCAATGCCTGGTTATACATAATCCAGGGAGTGAGGGAAGGCCTTGAGAAGAAAGTGACTTCTGAGTGGACACATCAAAGAAAAGTAAGAGTTAACTCAGAGAAGGAAGGCTTCAGGAAGACCCCACCTAGGCAGAGTGGCAGTGCTGACAAAGACACAGCCAACTCATCCCAGCTGAGGACACTCATTTCCCTGTGATGAGCATTTGCCTTCTCTCTTGCTGGTCCATTAGGAAACACACCAGCTGACCTCTAGATTGGAGCTGGCCAGCCAGAATGCATTTATACCTAATTAGTCACAAATTACAGTCCGTAACAAGGCAATGTTTTATTTTGCTGTATTGTACCAAAATCCAGGACAGCCTCACTTTCACAGTTTCTTCTTCCATCTGTACCAGGAAGAAGGCAAGACTTTGCCTCTGATCTGATTTTCACAAATCATCTGACCAAATTGGAAGGGACTCATTAGAACAGAACAGTAACTCACCTATCAGTTTCTGATGGACTGAACGAGATCTGGCTGAGGCTGTTTTGCAATTATAGCACTTTCCAGCTGAAGGCCTCAAAATGTTTTGTGAGCAGTGATGAGCAACAGGGCCTCCTAGTGCTAATACTAAGTGCTCTCATAATAAATTTTCACCGTCAACGTCTGGCTCATTAGCCTGTTAGGGCAGGAGAGGGGGCATGCCTGTGAGAAGGAGGTCATGCGGTGACCCTGCCAGCAGTAGGACTGGACCACTGCCCAGTGCTCGCAAGACGAGGTCGCATGTGGAAGTCTCGTGGAGGTTCAAGCCCACTTCTCCCGGTACCAGTGGACACCCCCAGCCCTGATGTCCGGACAGGTACTGTGAGGGCTGATTTGATGGAACTCGGAGCAAGAGAAGAGCAGAAGGGCAGAAGGAAAGGCCTGATCTGAGGATGAGGAAGGGTGGAGAAACATGGGTTGGGCCCATGGGACTGGTTAGATAGAAAAGCTGGGTAAAGGATTGTTGTGTCTGTAATTTTCCTTTCTACATGATTTCTCCTAGTTCTGTCACTGGCCCAGGCAGCCCCTGCAGGGAGGGTAGCAATCCTGTTTTGTGTGTAACTCTGTTAACCCTCCAGGTGTATTACTGAGTTGGCAGAGCAGAGTGGAGAGGAGGACACTTGTGTACTGTTTCAGGCTGTGTGGCACTAAGCTAGGGGGCTTTGGGGAGATGTCTCAGTGGGGCTTCCTATCACCCCACAAATCCTGCCACTGAACTGGCTGCTTCTGAAACCCACCCCAGCATACATTCCTCTCATTCCAAGGCCCCATATCACCCAAAAAATTTGATGTCATTGATTCCTACCTTTAAGATAACATAGTGAAAGTCTAACGTGTCAGGCAATGTGTTGGATTCAAGGTGAAGACATTTTTCCTTGCTCCCACTTTTCTGCATTTCCCAATTTTCTGTAATGAGTCAGTAATTTTTTGAATAGTAAAGTTTGCCATAGAACTATAACTGGAAGTGAAAATATATAAGCCACATTTTAATAGTTTTGAAGAACTAAATTACTTTTCTTAAGTATTTAAAGCTTGTTTACTTTGAAAACTTTGACTTTGTTACCTACTTCACTAAGAAACACAACGCCATTGGACCCAAGGGCTCTCACTATCGACCAATGCCTTTCCTCCAACTCAGAGAATCAGGTGAATTGGGTTTATAGTGCAAAAGAAACTTCTTTAAAATTCAAAAACAAACCAGTCATGAGTTCTGGCTACAAGATGCTTACAGTATAACCAGGTAGAAGAGAAAAGGCATACGAAAATACAATTTTTTGTAATATAAAATATTAGATAATATTTTATAAAATATAAGACAAAATTGAGAAGGATAAATACTTTAAAAGAGGTCTTGATAAGGTCAAGGGATGCCAGCAGAAGCCATTTTCCCCCAGCTGATGGATGGAAAAGCTTGATGACGGCGGGGCGTGAGAGCCCTGCCTGAGAGAAATCAGGGCCTGGGCTGCAGACAAGGTAGATTTGGGCAACCAGGGAATAGGTTAAAATGAGCAGCGGCAGGGAGGTCAGAAGGGGCTCGTGGGGTGGACCACATGAGCTTGATTAGGATGAAGTAAGGGAGACATGAAGAAAAGGAGGTGAGGTTGAGAGAGCTGAATGTGGAGAGGTAATGGAGGACGATGGGGACTAGGCTGAGGGATTTAGTTCCCCAGTCAGGGGAGCTATACCTGAATCAAACTGATCCAGCAGCAGAGGTTAGCATGGACCAGGGTGGAAAGAGGCATTTATGAGACTGAATCCAGGTGAGATAAGATGACCTAGGGCAGTAGCTGTGAGATGGGGGGGATGGGCCGGAGGTGTTTCAGAGGCAGCATAGGCGTATTCTGGAGAAATAAGGAGTGGAAAGGATTCTCTTTTCCAGCCTGTGCCCTCAGACTGGCTGAAGCTGGCATGAAGGGGCTACGGTGGTTAGAAGTTGCAATCGAACACTGGAAAGGAAAATTACAGGTTGCTCTTCCAGGAGGACTTCTTCAGCCCAGAGGAACTGCAGGAGTTGCCAGCATAATGAAATCTAAACAGGGAATTATCAAATAAGCAAAAAGGATAACCCATGAGGTTTCTTTTTTTTCCTTCTGCCCCTCTTTCTCTTTTAAGTTATTCATCACTAAATATCTATGAAGCAGTTACATTATATAGGAAACCAAAGGAACACAATTTAACACCTAGTTTCTGTCATCGAATGATTTTCAATATATTTGCAGACAGAACTGTATTCACATGTCTGCATACCATTGCACACTTTAGTTCACGAGCCACCTTGAGAAAGATGCTAGGACTTGAGCTGTAAACATTGCCTAAATTAAGGGAAATTTAGTGTTTGGGGGGTATTATTATACAGTGCTACTATGTGCCATATACTTTACTTTTCATCTTATTGTGTCCATTTTAAAGATAAGGACACTGAGACCCAGAGAGATGAAGTTAAGAGGTAGGTGACAGAGCCAGGAAAGCTTCATCCAAACCACAGCGCCCCCTAGAGAGGTAGACAGTGAAAGGCAAGTCTTCCTCATAAAAACCTGGCATGCAAAGGTATAGAAGATATAGGTTATCTATACTTCAAAACCATCAGAATTCGAAAGGTTTCATATGCACCTTCCAGCTTACTTTCCAGTTGGTTCTAATAAAGTTTTCTGAGACTCCTTTCTGAAAGATTCTGCTGCTGTCAGGAATCTGCATATTTCCTCAAGATTTGGAGCTGGGTAGGACAAGATAGAAACACGAATAGAACATAAGTTAATTGCTTTCTGGAGTATGTTTCAGAGTCAGTGTATTTCCCATGGTGTTCTGTATGCCTGCCTCCTGGGCTTAAAGGGTTAACAGAACACCCCCACCTTTTATAATATCACCAGATCTCGATTAATCTGGCAAATGCTATAAATCAAGGGACAGTGTGAAATTGAACACTAAATGTATTGGACGTTATTATAAAAAGAGAAATTGGATAATTTCTACTCATTTCTATCTGAAAATGAAAAACTGCCAGGGTAATGAATCTCCTTGATCTGCTGAAGTGCTTATCAGTTACAAAGTACTTTTCCACTGAAGAGATAAGCAGAGTCAAAACACACAAAAAAATCACAATTTTTTGAATGAAAATAAATCTTCATGCTGTTTGTGGGATAAATTCCCCCCAAAGAACCCAGCAACCATCTCTTTTAAAAAGCTTCAAAGTCGATAGGATTTCTTATTGCCCTGAAACACGTCAGGAAACTAAAGAAAACTTTGTTACATGAACTGTCCACCCTTCCATGAAATCAAGAGCAAACTTATCAAGATTGATTTCTGTCATCAAGTGCAGTTAGATTTGCATAAAAGGGTTGGCCAAAAAGATATATCTAAATAACCTTTCATTGTTAAGGCTAACCTCCCTTTCACTGTTAAGTTCAAAGGAAGGAAAGTTCTTTGAAACACCACCAGGGCTGATTGGTGCTGCTGGTCTAATCAGAGCATGTTTTGAGTCCAAAGGTAAGAAATGCCTTCAGTTGGAATAAAATGCAGGCAAGAGGCCAGGCGCAGTAGCTTATGCCTGTAATCCCAGCACTTTGGAAGGCCAAGGTGGGGGGATCATGAGGTCAGGAGATCAAGACCATCCTAGCTAACATGGTGAAACCCTATCTCTACTAAAAATACAAAAATTAGCCGGGTGTGGGGGTATATACCTGTAGTCCGAGCTACTTGGGAGTCTGAGGCAGGAGAATCGCTTGAACCTGGGAGGCGGAGGTTGCAGTGAGCCAAGATCACGCCACTGCACTCCAGCCTGGCAACAGAATGAGACTCCGTCTCAAAAAAATAATGTGGGCAAGATCAGCCAGGTGGCCACCATTCTAGGGGGAAGAGAGCCCTTCAAATACTGATTCCAGGGCAGCCTGCTTGTTTTAACAACCTTTTCTCGGTAAAGCTCTCCAAACCCTGGAACTGTTCCAGTTTTCCTTTTCTGCATGAAGTAGGAATGTGATTGTAATGAGATAGTTTTTCAGAAATCAGTGTTGCAGTTCTCATTTTTCCTGTATTTGATAATACTTGCCCTGTGCCTATTAATGAGCCTAGTCTAGTTGAGGTAACTGGAATGGGCAAAGAGTTTACTGCACTGAGAACCTTTCCAGGGCCTGTTCCCACTACATACATCATCAGGAGCTGAGAGAGTTTAGAACATAGTAATTACCCGGTGTGTAGTCATCTTATACAAATCAATTTATTCACACACTTAACAAATACATGTGTGCCAAGCACTGTTCTGAGCATTTGAAATAAACAAAAATGCCTGTGCTCAGGGTGTTTTCATTTTGGCAAGAGAAAATAAGCCGTGAGAAATTAGCTTAACAAATGGGCAAATTATATAGTATATCAGGTGATAAGTGGTACAGAAAAAAAAATTGAGCAGAGGAAGAGAGAATGGAGGCTGGGTTATAGGGATGGGATTGGGCTGTGATTTGAATTAGGTAGTCCAAGTAGGCCTCACTGAGAAGTTATCTCTTGAGTAAAGACTGGGAGGAGGAAGAGCATTTTAGCAGTGGCAATAGCTTATGCAAAGACTGTAAGGTGAGATGTACCTGGCAAATTGGAGGAACATCAAGTGGGCCAGTGAGGCTGAAGGGTGAGCATGTAGGAGAGTAGGAGGGGCTGAGTTTAGAGAAGTAAGAGGGGTGGGAAGATCATACAGGGCCTTATAAGCCATTGTAAGGACTCGGCCTTTCACTTTAAGAATTGGGTCACGAGGTCGGGAGATCAAGACCATCCTGGCTAACACGGTAAAACCCCATATCTATTAAAAATACAAAAAATTAGCCGGGCATGGTGGCGGGTGCCTGTAGTCCAGCCACTCAGGAGGCTGAGGCAGGAGAATGGCCTGAACCTGGGAGGCGGAGCTTGCAGGGAGCCAAGATTGCACCACTGTACTCCAGCCTGGGTGACAGAGCGAGACTCCATCGCAAAAAAAAAAAAAAAGGTGGGGGCAGCTACTGGAGGATTTCGCAACAAGGGATGTGATCTAACTGGCAATTTGAAAGAACTCCTCTGCTGTCTTGAGAATACACTGTATTCTACAGGGAGGCAAAGGTAGGGGCTGAGAGTTGAATTAAGAGATGACTGCAGGAATCTGGGAAAATCAACAAATAATTCATGGTTCTATGTGCTATAGTGGCATAAACGAAGCTGGAGCTCAAAGCACTGTGTGCAACTAGTTCTTCCAGGGAAGGCTTCCCAGGGCTGTGACTTGTGAATTGAAGGAAAGGGACTTAGAGAAGGAAGGCAGATGGCAGGAGGTGAGATGAGAAAGATTTAGGGGCACCAGACTGTGAAAGGCCTTGAGTACCACCAGGACTGATGCCTTTTATAAAGCCAAGAAAATGCCCAACTATGTGGCCTAAACAAATAGGTTCTTATTTTTCTCATGTATTAGGAAACCTAGAGGAAGCAGTCCAAAACTAGTGGATAAAATCAGTGATGAGGCTCTTTTTGTCATCCTTGTTGTAATGGCTTGTGCTGGTTCTAAAGAGTGCTGCTGTGTATCCATGTTGTGGGAAGGAAAAAGGAAGAGAGCAGCATGTCAGGTGAATCTAGCTCTCCCTTTTTTAAATTGGGAAAGCAAATCTCCTAGAAACCCTACCCAACAGACTTCAGCTTGAGTCTGCCTAGCCCAACTGGGTCACGTGACCATGCCCACCTGGAAGGTGGCTCAGCTGAAAGGGTGGTGGATATGGTGTATGTCAGCTAACCAACAGTGCCAACACAAATTCTTAAATCTATCCAATGTGAGTGAAGATGATGCTTCCCCCAGAGGGCCACATGCAGCTTCATTGGCCTCCCCCTCTCAGATCTGGGCTCAGCAAAAGAACAGCTGCTGAAGCACCCACTCTCCACTATGGCTATCACTGCCCTGCCCCTTCCACAGGGCCCCAGGTAGACTAGCTAGGGCCTCCAAGTCCCGCCTTTCCTGCATGCCTGTGAACATCACTGATTCAACAGTAGGGACCAGGCCCTATGCCAGCAATGGAATCTGCCTCTCCATAAGAGAAAGGTGTGTGTGAGTGTATGTAACCCTCAGAATTTCCTTGGGACTCTGGCAGTCACTTCTGTTTTGTCAAAAGAGGTTTCTATCCTCCCCTTCCAAGTGATAAAGCATTAAGACACACAGGCTGGGGGATGGGGTCAGAACTTGTGGCTGTGCATTAATGAGCCCCACTGGGAGTCAGCAAAGCTTGACTTTGGTGGTCACAACCTGTTTTCCTTGATCCCAGGTGCCTATCTCTCTTCACCCTCTTTCCAAATCTGTTCTCCAAAAGGTTCTGATGAAGTCATTAACTTTGAAGTGTAAACAACTGATAAGACTGAAAATGCCCTCTCCCCTAGATGCATTCTTATTCTAATAGCTGTCAAGCCGCTGTGGCTTGAACCTAAACTTGGAATGGGCAGGGCACCAGAGTGGCTGGTTTCAGTTTCTAGCTCTGCCATTCATGATCCAGTGAATCAGTACATCTTTTGGGCTTCAGTTTCTTCATCTGTAAAGTAACAAATTTGAAAGATATGACCTCTAAGGCCCTCCTTGCTCTCCTGGTCTATATGGCCAAGTGAGAGAACACAACTTGACTGTGTACTGACTTCTGGTATTACTAGCGCTTAGCTGCTGTCATGCGTGGCATTGATGCAGAAGCCTCATCCTACACACGCTCTGAGGACTAGGACTCCACACACACTCAGCCTCCCCCTCTGGAGGGGTGATCTCCATCTGGGTGTGCACTCCCCTCCTCTCAGACCTCTGCAAGCAGGTATCTGATGTGCAGAGTGATGGAGAGAAGCTGCCTCTTGGTATCATCCACTAGACTGTGGGCTTGCTGAGAGCAGAGACATGTCTGGTTCACTAAGTGTATGTAAAAATGAACTGCCTGAACTGTGGTTAGAAAGGTAGCAGGGATGGACTTCTCTTTCCACTCTGCTCCTTACAAATAGACTCCGCCAGGCTCTGCCTTTTATCTGTTCTACCTTCTCCCCTCCTTTTCTCTTCCTATTGTCAGGCAAAAGCTGCTTTCACACAGTCCTATTATGACATCTCAAGTTGGACTCTTACTCCATACCTCATCCAAACATCCTCACAGCCTACCATAGCTGCCTGAGTTACCATTTGATTCAGTTCCTAAAGAAATTCCTCTGCTAAATGTCCCATTTATACTAACAATAAATATTTGTAACACATTTTCAAGTGCTCTCATCTACTCTAAGCTCTCCTGGGAGGGGTAATTTCTTTTTTAATTTATAATTGATACATAATTATGCATATTTATGGGGCACAATGTGATATTTCAATGCATGTATACATAGTATCGTGATCAAATCAGGATAATTACCATATCACTTTAACATTTATCATTGTGATGACACTGAAAATCTTCTAGTTATCATGAAATGTACACTTCACCTTTACATGCTGTAGTCACCCTACTGTGTAATAGAGCACCAAAACTTCCTAACTCTAACATTTGTACCTATTGACCAGCCTCTCCTCCTGATCCCCATCCCCACCCCTCTGCAGCCTCTGGTGGACACTATTCTACTCTCTACCTGTAGGAAATCAACTGTTTGGACTCCACATGAGTGAGATCACAGTGTCTGGCTTCTTTACCTTAATGTAATGTCCTCCAGGTTCATCTGTGTTGCCACTAATAACAGGATTTCATTCTGTTTTATGGTTAATATTCGTGTGTGTGTCTGTGTGTGTGTATGTGTCTGTCTTCATTCATCTGTAGATGGGCATTTAGGTTGATTTCATATCTTGACTATTGTGAAGTACACTGAAAACATGGGTGTGCAGATGTCTCTGTGACATTGATTTCATTTCATTTGGATACACACCCACTAATGGGGTTGCTGGATCATATAGTACTTCTGCTTTTAAGTGTTTTGAGAGACCTTCATACTATTTTCCATAATGGCTGTACTAATTTACATTTCTACCAACAATGTATAAAGAATTGCTTTTACTCTGCATCCTTGCCAGCATTTTTTCTGGGGTGGGGAGGTCTTTTTGATAATAGCATTCTAACTGGGGTGAGGTGATATCTCATCGTGGTTTTGATTTGCATTTCTCTGATGATTAGGCATGTTCAGTATTTTTTCATATGTCTGTTGAATATTTGTATATTCTGAAAAATGTCTATTCAGAATGTCTATTCAGGTCTTTTATCCATTTTTAATCAGATTTTTTTTTGCTATTGAGTGTTCTGAATTCCCCATATACTGTGGATATTAACCCCTTGTCAGATGTATAGTTTGCAAATACTTCCTCCCAGTCTCTAGGTTGTCTCTTCACTTTGTTTCCTTCATTGTGCAGAAGCTTTTGGGCTTGATGTAATCCTATTTGTCTAATTTTAGTTTCGTTGTCTGTGCTTTCTTATTTTTAAAAATCCTTGCCCAGCTCAATTTCATGAAGCATTTCTCCTATGTTTTCCTTTAGTAATTTCATAATCTGCATCCTGCATTTAAGTCTTTAGTTCCTTTCGAGTTGATTTGTATATATGGTGAGAGACAGGAGTCCAGTTTTATTCTTCTGCATGGGGGAGGGGTAGTTTCTTGAGCAGATACCAAGTTGTGGTTTCTGAAAGATGAGCTGACAGCCAAGTAAGAGACCCTGAGGGAAGCAACCCCAGGAGACATGACTGAGAAAAATATCAGCATTAAGTGCTAGCAGCCTGATAGGGAACAAGGATAAAAGATGAACTATCAGAACCTGAGGCACATTTCACCAACATCACACCATTGCCTTGTGGCCCTTTAAGGATGAAATGCCAGCTCAGTTGTAGTATCTATGTCCAGTCTTAAGTTTTCTGAAACCACCATTTTCTATATGCCCCACATCCCATGATTTTTTTAAAAATTGCATATAATGCTTGTCCTTGTTCAAAATCTTTTCTTGTGAGTTGACTCAAGTCCTACTTTGTAAAAGGATAGGATACAAGTAAGAAGTAGATTACTTGCTAATTATTGGAGATCACTTGCTTCTCTACATGAGATGCCCTGATGCAACAGGAAGATGATTTCAGAATAGTTTTTTAAATATGTGGAAAGTAGCTTGAATATTTATATCTATATGGTTTTAATTATGTGGCAAAAATATACTGGTATCATTTCTTAGATTTAGAGTCTGAGACCACATAAGGCAATATGGGCAATTTCAGTGATCTGTTATGTGCATGAATGCTTTACACAAGCAAAAGTTTTGCCATCATTTCCATGGATATATTCTGGGCATTTTAACCTATGTCATGCTTTAGCCTGGCACAGAGTAAGCAAGTGAAACATTCCTCAGTAATCCCATCAGTGCTGATAGCATACAAAGTAGTTGCTTTTTAAACTTTTACTTTGTTTTCATGAGTTGTTTTTAAAAACAAACATTGATTGGGCCTTGCTTTAACAGTCACAATAATGCCTTGTAGATACCAGTAAACTGTAGCGGCTGTTAAGTGTGGGCTCTGGGGTCAGCTGCCCGTGTTTGAATCCCAGCTCTGCCACTTACAAGTTCTATAGCCATGGCCTAGTTACTCAGCCTCTGGGCAGCTCCATTTCCTCTGTTGTAAACTGTGGATTATAACAAATTATCTCAGAGGGTCCTTGTGAGGATTAAATGAGTTAATATGTGAACAGCAAGTATAGTACTCAAAACAGTGCCTGGTGCATAGTAAATGTTAGCTCTCATAATTATGAACAGTTTTCTATTAACCTAAATAATTCCCATTTCTAGTTCCTTTTTCCAACATGGCACTGGGTGATCAAACAATGCCTACTTGACCCTGAGCAAAAATGTTTTTTTCTGCATGCTGCATGCAGGTATATTTGAAAAACATTAAGAATATGAGCCTAAATTGATATTTTTTAAATTATTTAGGGATGAACAAGAACAAAAGGGAGGACAAAAAGGCTAGAAAAATTGCTACTACATTTTCCAGAAATGGAGAATCAATAAACTCTGAGCTGGGTATTTTAAGAAAGGAAACAATAGGTTTCCACAAGATGTTTCTTAGAAATCCAAATGAGCCTAGAAATTTCCAGTGGTTTAATTGTGGGGCCAAAATAGTTCTATACTAGTGACTGAATATAAAAGGGTTGATTAAAATGCTTTTTTAGTAGTTCGTATCCTTGAAAGTAAAGTCTCTGCTACAACCTGTGCCAATAAGAGCCAGTAAACAGCTAATTACATTATAACATGGGTTTTTTAATTGTTAATTATAATAAAAGAAGCAACAACCCAACAATAATTTGCCAGTCCGTACATCTGTGAAGTTTAAATGGGAAAATTGCCTCTTGTCTCAGCAAGGATGTAATTGATTCTTGGGCACTTAACGATATAATACTAGTTTCTGCCTGTTCTTCTTTCTTCCTTCAAAGAGCTGACACCATTATGTCACTGATATAAATGGAATCTTGAAGGTACATCAAAAATTCTGTCTTTTTAGGAAAAAAAAAAAAAGCCATTGTGGCTCTTTAGTGTGGAGCAGGTGCGTAGTCAAGAAGGATTGATCCCTGGGTCAAGGTCAGAGTTCAGCTCCAGATGGAGTTTTTCACCCTTTTCTATGGGGTGGATGGAGCATATCTTGTCATGTTAGCAACAGTCATTGTGAACCTTCTAAAATGTTTTAAAGTAACATTTTAGGACTGTCAAATGAGAGAGTAAAAAGGCCTTGTCAGAGGCTATCTGTTCTCATGTCAACCGAAGCTAACTGGAAAAGAACTCTGGGTTCTTGAAACTGAATTTGATTAGTGGAGATGGACCAGAAAAGTGTGCATCAAAAAGGACTTGCAAAATATTAGCCTCACTACCCATTCTCAAACTCAAACAGCCCCTTATATTTCATTTTTTCAGTTTGACATTAAGTACCCAAGGAGCAGAAAAGGAATAAATGTAAAGAGTCCACATCAAAGTGCTGTCTATATTTCCATTCCAGCCAGTACATTGTTTTAATTGCCATTTAAAAATGTTCATTGTTAACCGACAGCCATTCTTGGTAGTGGATATACTTTAATTCTTTATAATAAACCATACATATATATTTTTAAAGCTTAACAGACATCTTGTCAGTGTGATCACTTTTTCTTCATCCTGATGCCCAGGTTATTCCAAATACAATATTTTGTCCTGATACGATGATTATACTTAAAAAAAAAAAAAAAAAAAAAAAGCTAAGCCTCATTGGTCCCCACATCAAAACTAAGTGTACACCAAATGATTATAAACATATCTGTTAATTTTAAACTTCCTCCATTTATTAAATCGATATATATAACCCTCTACCTGAATAATTGGATTGACCACATGGCAAGTGTTTTTAGCTGAAGTATACCCTTCCAAACAAGTCAGAAGGAGCACAACAGACTGTTCTCCCTGGCAAATGCCCTGAGGGGAAAATGGATCACATAGAATCATATTTTGCCTCCCTCTAATAAAAACAACAAACAGTATTCAGCACTGATTATAGAACTCATGCTATTAAGTACTGTGTGGTTGCCAATTCATTAAATTCACAAGGACCCTAGGTTGGTGCTATTATTATCATCCCTATTTTACAGACCAGGAAATTGGGACACAGATAACGTAGGCCTAGTTTCATATAGCTAATAAGTGGCAAAGCTAAAATTAAAACCCAGCACCTGTGTTTTTAACCACCTCACTCCTCTCCCTGTTGGCAGCATCTGTATTCTTTCTTGCTTTTGTTTTGAGATTTTTGATTCTTGGGAAGATAACTTTTTATTGTGAAAAATATCAAACTTTAAAAGGTTTCAGGCCGGGCACAGTGGCTCAAGCCTGTAATCCCAACACTTTGGGAGGCCGAGGCAGATGGATCACCCAGCACTTGGGGAGGCAGAGGCAGGTGGATCATGAGGTCAGGGGATTGAGACCCAGCACTTGGGGAGGCGGAGGCAGGTGGATCATGAGGTCAGGAGATTGAGACCATCCTGGCTAACACAGTGAAACCCCGTCTCTACTAAAAATACAAAAAATTAGCCGGGTGTGGTGGTGGGCGCCTGTAGTCCCAGCTACTCCCCAGCTACTCAGGAGGCTGAGGCAGGAGAATGGCGTGAACCCGGGAGGCGGAACTTGCAATGAGCTGAGATCGTGCTACTGCACTCCAGCCTGGGTGACAGAGTGAGACTCTGTCTCAAAAAAAAAAAAAGGTTTCAAGTATAATGTCCTTTTTTTCTTGAATTTTTCACAGTAAGTTGTTCACTTGATCCTTCATCACTTTCAAATACACTAACATCTAATTATGACAAACCAGAATCCTACGTAACCACAATGCAACCACCAGAATCATTCAGGTTTCACATGTTCACTCAGCCCTTTAAATCAAAAGGCTGAAATTCAAAATCATGTGTTACATTTACTGGTGTCCCTTTAGTCCCCTTTAATCTGGAACAGTTCCTAAATCTTTCATTAACTTTCATGACCTTGATATTTTTAAGGATTACAGGTCAGATACTTTGTAGAGATCCCTTATTCTGGGTGTTTCTGATACTTCCTCATGATTACATTCAGACTGTACATTGCTGACAGGAAAAACAGAAGCAGTGCTGCATTCTTCTTGTCACATGCCATCAGTTGGCACGTGATTTGGACTTGTCCTGTTACTAGTGACCTGCATTTTGATCACTTAATTAAGATGGTGTCAACCAGGTTTCTCTGCTGTAAAGTTACTCTTTCTACCCCCCATAATTAATAAGTATTTTGTAGAAAGGAACTTTGAAGCTATATAAATATCTCAGTCCTCATCAACTTTCAAGTCATTCATTTATTCATTTGTATCAGCATGGACTCATGCTTTTCCATTTTATTAAATGGACTTTCATTTGTAACTACCATTATTTATTTTGATGTTCAAATTGTCTTTAATTTGGCCACTAGGAGCCCCTTTAATCCATCTGCTCCGCCCTTAACATGTTCTCATCATTTTAAAGCCTTTTTATTGTTAATTGGTGCAATGAGATGTTTTGGGCTCATCTTGTACCTTACTTGCTCCAGACCTTGGAATCAACCATTTTGTTGAGGATCCCTGGTTCCTTTACATGAAGAATTGTATTTAGAAGCCAAGATATGGTGCTAGGTGTGCTCACTGCTGCTTCATGAATGACCCTTTTGGTGAAAAGAATTAGGAACTCTGTGTGTGTGTGTGTGTGTGTGTGTGTGTGTGTGTGTGTGTACACGCGCGTGTGTACACGTGTGTGTGTGTGTACGTGTGTGTGAGGGTAAGTAGAGATTTACATATATGTTCATTTCTACATGTATATTTGTGTGTGTGTTCTAATACCTTCAATTCCAGTTCAATACCACAGGGTTCATTCTAGTCTCTTCCTTTCCATATTTTTAACTCCCTTCTCTGGCAGTGAAAAACCTAATAGCCTGTGTTCTTAACCATTCTACTATATTGCGTGCCACTAGGAGGCTCAAGGAAAAAGTCGATGACTTCAGGGACTGGGTCATGGATCTCCTCTCCAATATGTCTATGACCTTAAACAAGTCTTGAACTACTCTGGATTTGCCATTTTTCATCTGTAAATAGCTGTGACAATAATACCTGTTTCAGAAGGCTGTATAGGGAAGAGCACAGGGCCAGGGCCACACTGGCTCTGATACTCACTGGCTGTGTGATCTTGAACAGTGACACAACTGCTCTGAGCCTTGTTTCCTTTTTTTAAATAATGTCAACTTTTATTTTAGATTCAGGGTTACACATGCAGGTCTGTTACATGAGTATAGGTGAAGTTTGGGGTATGAATGATCCCATCATCCAAGTTATGAGCATAGGACCCAATAGGTAGCTTTTAAGCCCTTTCTTCCCTCCTCCCTCCCTCCTCTAGTAGTTTCCAGTGTCTATTGTTCCCATCTTTATGTCTATGTGTACCCAGTGTTTAGCTCCCACTTATAAGCAAGAAGATGTATTTGGTTTTCTGTTCCTATGTTAACTCGCTAAGGATGATGGCCTCCAGCTGCATCCATGTTGCTGCAAAAGATGTGATTTCATTCTTTTTATGGCTGCATAATATTCTATAGTGTATATGTACCACATTTTCTTTATCCAATCCACCGTTGATGGGCACCTGGGTTGATTCCATGTCTTTGCTCTTGTGAATAGTGCTGCGATGAACACAAAAGTGAATGTGTCTTTTTGGTAGAACAATTTATTTTCCTTTGGATACATACCTAGTAACAGGATTGCTGGGATAACCATTTGGTAGTTCTGTCTTAAGTTCTTTGAGAAATCTCCAAACTGCTGTCCACAGTGACTGAACTAATTTACATTCCCATCTACAGTGTATGAGTTCCCTTTTCTCTGCACCCTTGCCAGCATCTGTTTTGTTTTTGTTTTTGTTTGTCTTTTTAATCATAGCCATTCTGACTGGCATGAGATAATATCATATTGTGGTTTTGATTTGCGTTTTCTGATTAGTGATGTTCAGCATTTTTTCATATGTTTATTGTCCACTTGAATGTCTTCTCTTGAAAAGTTTCTGTTCATGCCTTTTGTCCACTTTTTCATGGGATTATTCGTTTTTTGCTTGTTTGGTTGTTTAAGTTCCCTGTAGATTCTGGTATTAGACCTTTGTTGACTGCATAGTTTGCAAATATTTTCTCCTATTCTGTGGGTGGCCTGTTTATTGTGTTGATAGTTTCGTTTGCTGTGCAAAAGCTCTTTAGTTTAAGTTCTGCTTGTCAATTTTTGTTTTTGTTGCACTTGCTTTTAAGGGCTTAGTCATAAATTCTTTGCCAAGGCCAATGTCCAGAATGGTATTTCCTGGGTTTCTTTCTAGGGTTTTTATAGTTTGAAGTTTTACACTTAGTTTTTTAATTCACCTTAGATTAATTTTTGTAGTGAAAACGATGATCTACTTTCATTCTTTTGCATGTAGCTAGTCAGTCATTCCAGCATCATTTATTAAATAGAGGGTCCTTTCCCCATTATTTATTTTTGTTGACTTTGGTTGTAGGTGTGTGGCTTTATTTCTGAGTTTTCTATTCTGTTCAGTTGGTCTATGTGTCTGTTTTTGTACCAGTACAACGCTGTTTTGCTTACTGTAGCCTTATAGTTTCATGTGAGACAATGTGATGTCTTCAACTTTGTTCTTTTTGCCTAGGATTGCTTTAGCTATTTGGGCTCTTTTTGGTTCCATATGAATTTTAGAATAGTTTTTCCTAATTCTATGAAAAATGACATTGGTAGTCTGATAGGAATAGCATTGAATCTGTAGATTGCTTTGGCCATTTTAATATTCTTCCAATCCATTAGCATGAAATATTTTTCCATTTGTGCCATCTCTGATTTCTTTCAGTAGTGTTTTGTAGTTCTTGTAGAGATCTCTCACCTCACCTCCTTGGTTAGATGTATTCCTAGGTATTTTAATCTATGTCTAGCCATTGTAAATGGGATTGCATTCTAGATTCGGCTCTTAGCTTAGACATTATTGGTGTATAGAAATGTATTGATTTTTGTACATTGATTTTGTATTCTGAAACTTTACCAAAATTGTTTATCAGGTCTAGGAGCCTTTTGGCAGAGTCTTGAGGATTTTCTTTGCTGATATGATAGAATCATATACTCAGTAAAGAGAGACAATTTGACTTTTTCTTTTTGTATTCAGATGCCTTGTATTTCTTTCTCTTGCCTGATTTGAGCTTTGTTTCTTGATCTTTAAAATGTGAATAATGCTACCACCAAGCTCCCAGGGCAACTGTGATATTTAAATGTATGTAAAACCACTTGGCACAATGCCTCATAGATAGAAACAATCAAATAATGATTTCCCTCACCTTTCTTCTCACCAGAATATTACATAATAATAATAGTAATAATAAACTGTAATTGTATAGGTTAACAACCTAACACAAGTTAAAATGATCATGTCACTTCTTCAGTACAGCCCAGTGATAATCTTCAAAAGATAGCAATTGTGTATAAGTCGCATATTGAAGGCATTTTCACCCTTTCTGATATTCCCAAGATGAGGCAGAACTAGGATGGTAGATGACTGCTCTGGCAAGAAAGGATCTTTTTAAGAAAATTTTGCCATAGAGTTTTAACTGTCATGCTTAAGTGTAATAATAAATATTGATGGCTTCAGTTGATTGGATGCCTATTGTACTAAGAACTTTACAAACTCATTGTTAATCCTTACTACGTCCCTAAAGAAAGATATTACTTTCTTCATTTCATAAATTAGAACACTGCCATTTAGAAAGCTTAAATGTCTTCTCCAAGGCCACACAGCCAGTAAATGTCTGGGTACAGATTGGACCCAATGTGCAAGAGACTCCAGAATCTGCCTTCTTTCTGTTCAGCCCACTGTCACATTACCCATCATGGCCAGAAACACACCTAGGACATGACCCTGTCCAGTTTATTCATGGAACTCTGGCCATGTCCCATTTAGACAAAGAGACAAAATTGCTAAAAGTGAACTCAGAATATCACTTTTAGTTCCCAGCATTCCATACTCCCTGTGTTCGGGAAATGCAAGAACAAAATGACCACAGTCCTTGGCATCTTGTTGCCACAGTATTTCTCCAACACAATCAGATGAGTTGGCATCTGCTCAGACACTAAAAGGACTCCCACAGAGGCTGAAATAAATTCAGCATCATCAACCTGTTCTTTCCCTTTTTGTATCTTGTTTTTCATAGGGCCTTGTGCCTGTGGGGGTTTATCTGCATCCTTTGTTGTAACTTGCCTGTTCATTTATCTGGATCCCCCGCTAGACTGTGAGTTCTGGGGATATAAGGAGAGTGTTTTGGTCAACTTCATCTCACCCACGCTAACACAGGGTAGGCCTTCATAAATACATGCTGGCTAGCTGGCTGGATGGATGGTACTGGTAATTTTTATCCTTAGTGACGTGGGGAAGAGGGAGATAAACGTAAACTGATAGAAACGGAAGGAGATAGCACCGTTAGAGGTAGATGGGGCCTATTATAAATTTTCTAGGAAGTTAATATTTTAAAGAAACACAAATGTTTTACCTTATTTTCAAGAGTGACTTAGAGAAACTTAGAGGTACTGAGCATGAATTTTAGGGCAAGGCTGCCTGGGTTGAATTCTAGCTCTGATACTCTCTGTGTGACCTCTTGCAAGTTACTTAAGCTCTCTGTGCCCCCCCTGCAAAATGGGATTGTTGTGAGAAATAAGTGAGTTTCTCTACGTGAGGTGCTTAGAGTGGTGCCTGGCACATAGTAAGTGCTTTGTAAGTATCAGCGTTCATTACCATCTTGTGCCTTTGTTGCTTTGGCAGAGATTAAGACCCTAATAGGGTAATGAAAAGAAAATATAGTAACCAAAGTCACATAAACTAAGAAAATGGGTTCTTGGTCCAAAGCATTCCACAAATTAAATTACCGTAAACTGGTAATTTACACATGTAGTATCAAGGGAAAGGGACAAGAAAATGAAAATGAAGCTGCAGCAAGGTGAGAACTCTAGTATATTTCCCTTCATTATTAACGTAATGCATTATGAAAAGTTGGCACAATCATTGTGTATAAAAGCAGACTTCAGTACACAGTGGGCACACATCCCTGCAAATGAGGACAATCAATCAGAAAGCAACTCCATGCCTTCTCCCTGCCAGCACCTGGGCTGCTGGATGTTGGAAGAAATTCACACAATCAAGCCTCTGTTTTCACTTTAAATTCATGATCTCAAGACTGAAATTGGCACTCAATATTGCTCAGCAAGCTTACTAGGTTTCTCTAGAAGGTTCATTTTGCCCTTCCCTTAGACATACAATTTATTCCTTCTGCATCCTTTACAAACCAACCACAGCCACTTCTCCATGCTCCTCATCAGCTGAGGACTTTGTTTCACACTGACTTAAGAATACAGAAACCAACAGGCCTCCTCACCTTCCACCCCTCGCCTGCCACCTTCAAACCTGCCACCCAGCTTCACTTGTTCCCATCTCCTTCTCCTGTTACAATCAAGAAGTAATTTCTTTTAAAGGCTCATGTTTAGACCTCAGATGTCCTTGCTTCTGCTTCAGAAACTGCCTCGGATCACCTGCGATGAACTTGAGGGAGAAGGGCAGCAAAAAAGAGCCAACACTGTTTACCACAGATACATTAACTTTCTTATTCTTTACAACAAGGCTAAAAAGATAATATTACTGTCCCCACATTACAAATAAGAAAACTAAGGCACAGCGAGTTTAATCTGCTTTAAGGTTATGATTCCTTATTTCCTCCTCCCACATCTGCTACCTAGTCTTCATGGTAAGGCTGGATGGAGTTAAGAATTCAATCTCTGGACCAGATGCCCGGATTATCACTTACTAGTTTTGTGACTAGTGAGTGATAATCTGGGCATCTGGTCCAGAGATTTGTATGCCAACTTTTGACATAGATTTGTATGTCAACTTTTTGGTGCTCAAAACAGACTCTCTTGCTAGGTCTGCTTTCTAAATGCAGTACATGGAGGGATTGAGTAACCACGTAGAATGGGATGGCAGCAGACCACAAGAAGTGCATGGAATGAGGCTCTTTGAACTGGAAAGCAAAAACTACAGAATCCTGATACTCCTTAGAGGCTCTGTAGGCCTTGAAGGATGCTCTTCCATAGTTCCATGGCCATATGGGGGGAGTTATTGAAGAATGCCTTAGTCTTCTCGGACTTCCAGAACAGAATACCATAGACCAGGTGCCTTAAACAACAGACACTTATTACTTACGGTTCTGGAGTCAGAGATGACCAATATCAAAGTGCTGGCAGAGTCTGTTCCTGGTGTGGGCTCTCCTCCTGACTTGCTGACAGCCACCTTCTCACTGTCCTCACACGGTCTTTTCTTGGTGCTTCCATGTGGAGAGACAGGGGCTGATCTCTCCCTCTCTCTCTCTCCATCCATCCCTTTTTCCCTCCCTCCATCCATCCCTTTTTCCCTCCATCCATCCCTTTCTCCCCCTCCTCCCTCCCTCTCCCCCCGCTCCATTCTCCCTTTCCCTCTCTTCCCCTCCCTCTCTCTTATAAGGACACCAGTCCTACCAAATTAGGACCCTACCATTATGAACTAATTTAACCTTAACTGTGTCCTAAAAGTTCTATCCCAAAATACAGGCATGTTGGGGGTTGGGAATTCAACATGTAAACTTTGGGGGGAAGGCAAATTTCAGTCCATAGTAGGGGCATTTCAAAGTCTGCCACTACAGTTTCTGTCCTGAGAGCAGTGAAGCAGTGTCACCCAACTTGGAAAGAGCTTCCCAAACTAGTAGAAGACTCGCCCATTCTCCTGTTGAAGGCAGACTCCTCCCCTGAGCAATAGATTCTCTCCCTTCTCACTCCCTTTCCTTAGCTATCCCTTCCTTCTCTCCTATATCATCAGTATCTCTCTTTAGACTGATTGGCAAACGTCAGCATACCAGTATGTTCTCCTATACCCCATCCCACCAAAATAACTACCTCTTCTTTATCCTTTCCCCATCCTCCTCCAGCAGTGCTGTAAGACTCAGGGAATAAACTCAAGCAAGATGGCATTTAGACTCTTTTCAGTCTAGCTCCTATGATGAAATGATTTGATTTCCCACTCATAGTGGATATCTGATATGTATATACGTGCGAATGCATGTAGACATATACACACATATGTACACATACACATATATACAGATATACACATGTAATATGTGCACATATACAAATATACATACAGATGTACAAGCATACCTCAGAGATATTGTGGGTTCAGTTCCAAACCACTGTAATAAAGTGAATATCACAATAAACCCAGTCACACAACATTTTTATTTTCCCAGTGCATATGAAAGTTAGGTTTACAGAATGCTGTGTTTTATTTGGTATGCAATAGCAGTATGTCTAAAAATATATATATCCAGACCTTAAAAAAAAAACTTTGTTGCTAAAAAATGCTAATCATCTAATACTTCAGTGAGTAGTAGTAATCTTTTTGCTGGTGGAGGGTCTTGCCTCAATGTTGATGGCTGCTGACTAATCGAGGTGGTGGTTGCTGAAGGCTAGGGAGGCTGTGGCAATATCTATAAATAAGACAATCATGAGGTTTGCCACATCAATTGACTCTCCCTTTCACAAAACATTTCTCTGTAGCGTGCAGTGCTGCTTGATAGAATTTTATCCATATAGAACTTCTTTCCAATTTGGAGCCCTCTCAAACCCTGCCACTGCTTTATCAATCAAGTTTGTATAATATACTAAACCCTTTTTTGTTATTTCAACCATGTTCATGGCATCTTCACCAGGAGTAGATCCTTCTCAGCAAAACATTTTTTCTCATCCAAAAGGAGCAATTCCTAATCTATTCAAGTTTTCTCATGGGATTGCAGCAATTTGGTCACATCTTCAGGCTCCATTTCTAATTCTAGTTCTCTTGTTATTTCTACCACATCTGTGTTACTTCCTCCACTGAAACCTTGAGCCCCACTCCCCCAACCCCCTCCAGGAGTCATCCATGAGGGTTGGAGTCAACTCCTTCCAAATGCCTATTAATGTTGATGTTTTGACCTCCTTCCATGAATCATGAATGTTCTTAATGGCATTCAGAATGCTGCATTCTTTCTAGAAGGTCTTCAATTTGCTTTGCCCAGATAGAGATAGAGGAATCTTCAATTTGCTTTGCCCAGATAGTGACAGAGGAATCACTATCTATGGCAGCTATAGCCTTATGAAATATATTTCTTATATAATAAGACTTGAAAGTTGAAATTATTCCTTAATTCACTGGCTGATGTTGTATTAGCCACAAAAACATCAATCTCCTTTTACATCCCTATCAGAGCTCTTAGGTGACTAGGTGCATTGTCAATGAGTAGCAATGTTTTGAAAGGAATCTTTTTCTGAGCAGTAGATCTCAATAGTGGGCTTAAAATGTTCAGTAAATCATGCTGTAAACAGATGTGGCATCATCAGGCTTTGTTGTTCCATTTATATAACATAGGCAGAGTCAATTTAGCATAACTCTTAATGGCCCTAGGATTTTCAGAATGGCAAATGACCATCAGCATCAACTTAAAGACACTGGCTGCATTAGCCCCTCACAAGAGAATCAGCCTGTCCTTTAAAGCTTTGAAGCCAGGCTTTGGCTTCTCTTCTCTAGCTATGAAAGTCCTATATGGCATCTTTTTCCAACGTAAGACCGTTTTGTCTACATTGACAATCTGTTATTTAGTGTAGCCACCTTCATCAATGATTTTAACTAGATCTTCTGGATAACTTGCTGCTTTCCCTTTAACTTTTATGCTATGGAGATAGCTCCTTTCCTTAAACCTTATGAGCTAGCTTCTGCTAGCTTCAAACTTTTCTTCTGCAGTTTCCTCACCCCTCTCAATCTTCACAGAATTGAAGAGAGTTAGGGCCCCCCTCTGGGTTAGGCCTTGGCTCAAGGGAATAGTGTGGCTGTTTTCATCTTCTATCCAGATGGCTAAAACTTCCTGCCTTTCAGTAATAAGCCTGTTTCACTTTCTTGCCATCGGTGTGTTCCCAGGAGTAGCATCTTTAACTTCCTTCAAGAACTCTTCCTTTGCATTCACAATTTGGCTGTTTGGTGTAAGAGGCCTAGCTCTCAGCCTACCTTGGCTTTCAATATGCCTTCCTCGCTAAGCTTAATCATTTCTAGCTTTTGATTTAAAGTGAGAGACATGTGACTCTTCCTTTCACTTAAACACTTAGAGGCCATGGTAGTGATGTTAATTGGCTTAATTTCAATACTGCTGTCTCAGGGAATAGGCTGGCCTGAGGAGAGAGAGAGAGAGGGAAACAGCTAGCAAGTGGACCAGTCAGAACACACACACATTTATCCATTAAGTTTGCTATCTTTTATGGGCAATGTCTGTGGTGTCCCAGAACAATTACAAAACAGTAACATCAAAGATCACTGGATACAAATCACCATAACAGATATGATAATGATGAAATGTTTGAAATATCTCTAAAACACCAAAGTGTAATACAGAGACCTGAAAAGAGCACATTCTACTGGAAATATTGTGCCAGTAGATTTGCTCAACATACAGTTGCCACAAACTTGCAGTTTGTTAAAAATGCAATATCTGCAAAGTGCAAGAAAACAAAACTTAATAAAGCAAGATTTGCTTGTACACACATACATACAGAACCACAAACACAATGAAAATATACAGATACACATAGATATGCAGACATATACACATATTGACAGATACATAGACATACACACATAAGATACATACACACAGACTTCTATACAGGTGCACACATGTACAAATATACACACAAATGCAGGTATACCTACACACATACACAAGTGACAGGAATTGTGAAAAGGGAAAGAGGAATTGAAATGCAATTGATAAATCATGTGAAAGCTGACAAGAAAAAATCAGACTGAATTCCTGCCTTTCCACCAAACACTGACTATTTCATTTTCAGCACATTTTTCAAGTGCCTGCTATGTGTCTAGCCCTGGGCCAGGCACTGGCCCTTGCCTTTAAATGGTCTATTTGAGGTGACAGTGTGTTTAATGGGATTTTTAAAGGGGGCACAGGCCCCTCACCAGAAAAAGCCAGTATATTTTCACCCACGTAAGACTGCTTAGAGCATGCTAACATACCTTTACCATAACACACATGCATGTACATGCATGCGCACGCACGTACACACACACACACACACACACACACAGTTAATAATACTGATCTCTGTACTTTGGTGCCTGCAATATGGCTTCCAGAGCAACAGCAAGAAAATGGTACAGTGAGAACAACTACTTCAAGGGGCTCACAAGGAGAGCCATGGTTGAGACTAGGTCAAGGACAGAGCTGACAGCCTTTTCTTTGCTCATTCCCGAGTCACATAGAGGTCTGGTGACAGGTGAAGAGTTCTCTAGAGTTATTTAAAGTTGTGGTTCCTCTTTCCGCCAGCTGCCTCCCCTTCTCCCACAGGACCACTCTTGTACAGTGGCTCCCACTGCCCCACCACCATTTCCAGCATATCTCTCTGAGGTGGGAGTCTGTAATCGGGAATGAGTGGGTGAGTCTTGTTTTAGTATAATGAGCCACCTTTGAAACGGCAACCCCCAACTCTTGAACATCCCCCAGGACTGTACCTCTCAGCATAATGCATCTTTTCAAACTTCCTGAAGTGTCAGAGGCATTTCCCCCTCACAGTTCATCTTCCTTGGTCCTTATTGTGACAAGTCTTTGGAAAAGCACACACCTCTGGGCTGGGTCTTTCCTAAGTCAGCCATCTTCTGCTTTACTGCCTTCACACTCCCAGGCAATTGAGAAGGAGGCACTCCATGAAATTCAGCAGCTATAGAGAACCACGGTCCCTGTTATTCCACACCCCGTTGCTCTCTGTTCAATAACATCACCATGAGGTGGGAGAAAATAATTAGAAGTTCCTCCTGTAGGATTCAGAGGCGTTTTCTGTAAGGGAAAGCCCACAAATCCCTGGATGTTCAGGACCAGTTCCTCTGTTTAAAACTTTAGCCAGAGCTTCCTGGCCCTTTCTCCCACCTAGAGTAAGAAAAAATCAGAATTGGTCCACTAATATCCAGTGTAACTGCTTGCCATTGTCAATTCCTGCTACAAAGCCTGGGCACATTTCATGTAAGACACTGTGGGAAGAGAGAAGAAAGATCCAGACCTGGAACCTGCCTTCACGTTATTTAGAGTTTGGGGTGGAAGAGGGAGACGGTTGCACAGAAAATCTAAGAAAAGGCAGATTATGTGCTGCCACTAAGGAACAAACAAGAACTCTGATGGCGCTAAAGAGGGAGGAATAAATTCCAACTGATGCTTCCTGTAAAAAGTGGCACCTGGATTAGAGAGTGAAAAGAATTCCAAAAGTCAGAGACAGGGAAAGTGATGGGACTTCCAGATGTGGGGGACTGTGTACAGAGAGAGTCTGAGGGATTTGCAGTGTGGATCTGGGGAATGTGAGGAGCTTGGCATGATGGCAAACACCGGAGAAGGAGCCTGGTCTGATAACTCCAGCCGGGGGAGGGCATAGCTCAAAAGCATTAGTGGTCAGATGCTGTGCTGTAGAAGGTGCAGGGCCACTGAGGGTGTTGGGGTCATCACGCCTGCACTTTAGGAGACAACATGGATTCTGAGAAGATGGCTGCCAGAGACAAACCACAGCCCTTGCCCCCTGTCTTTTTCACTTCCTTCTCGGGGGCCAACAAAAGTGAGGTTAGAGAGTCCAGAGGACCTGTCAGGGAGAGCAAGTTCAGGACTTCTGGTTCCATTGCATCTTGCAACACCTGGCAGCCAGCAGCAGAGGAGGAGTCTCACCCTTCTTCAAAGAGAAGGCCTTAGATTTTGTAGTTCCCTGAAGGAGCTCATCTGTCTGTCCCCTTAGTAGGGGACTATGTCTCTCCTGACTACAGGGTGTGGAATTTGATGAGGTTACCAAGTCATACTGACTACTGGCCCTCCCGGACTGAAATGGGACTTCCCCGATAGGCAGTATTGGTCCCAGTTTGGAAGGATTCAATCAGTGCCTTAGCAGAAGGGCAACAGTTTGTCTGCTTGTTGTTCACTGGCCCACAAGAATAGTTACCGGCATACCTCCTGCCTCTGTACCCCTGCCCTGTCTGATAGAATACCCCAACAGGCAGACCTGTACAGGTATTGAGGGAGCACACAAAAATGAATAGGCAATGAAAAAAACAATTAAAAATTGCAACCAGCTTAAGAGGACTCTTGTAACCAGGGGAAGAGAGACCTGGCTGAGCAACCAGGGATGGCAGCGTTATTTATAGTAGAACTAATGGAAAGAGAGAAGACATTAATAAAAGTAATTAGAACAAAGATATAATTAGAGTACAGGAAGGGCTTTCTAGAACTAAGAATGATATTTCTGAATTTTTTAAATTCAGTCGACAAATTGTAAAAATGAATGCTCACTGCTGAGAATAGAGTTCGTGTTCTGGAAGATCGAGTTAAATACCTCAAGACACAGAACTAGCCCTCAAAAGTAGAAATCGTGGAAAAATAAAAGAGACTTGGAGAACAAATTCAGAGGATCTACCATATTAACCATGGGAATGCAGAAGATATGAAGTAGCAGGTGGAAGGAAAGTGGTAAGCCAAAAGCAGAAGGAAAAATTGAATGTAGGACCCAAGCTAAAGAAATATTTGGTCCTTTAGATTAAAAGGCCCACTGAGCCTTAGAGGATGAATTAAGAGGAAAAACAAACAAACCTTAGACATACTTTGGTGAAATTCCCACATCTCAAAGAGGGGAAAAAAAATCTTACAGACCTTCTGATAGAACAGGTTACTTACTGATTATCTAAAACACTAGAATGTAGAGAACACCGAAATGACACCTGTAGACATAAAGAAATTCTTAATAAATTTATAAGGATTGTTAAAAACATAATTCTAAAATTCTACATCCAGCCAAAGTATTATTCAGCTGGAAGGACAAAAGAGTTATATTAGAGGCCCTATTCTCTAATTATAATCCAGTTGTATTGTAAGTCATCAACAACAAATGATTACCAAAAAAGGTTTAATTACTTGCAAATTAAGAAACATTATTTTAAATTATCTCTTGAATAATAGGAAAATCCTCGCTAAAATTTAATGTTATCTAGTCAGTAAGAAAAAAGAAAACATTCATACCAAAGTGTATAGGACACAGCTAAATTGTACTCAAAGGGAAATATGCAGTCTTAAATACTTTTAGTATATTAGATAAATTAAAATGAAAGTAAAAAAAGACTGAAAATAAATAAAATTTATGTATACCACTTAAGGAATTAGAAGAAGAATAGTAAAGTGCAAAAGAAGACAATTCTGGCAGCAATGCCCTAAGATAAAGGGTAGAAATAATTCTGCAGCAATATAATAAAGTCCTGAGATACAGAAGCAGCAGGATCAAAATGAAGAGCTGGATTCAGAAGCTGTTTTGGAAGTGAAATGATCCTGACATCTAGAAGTAGAAAATAGGAAGTAAGAGAAGTCGAAGATGAGTAAGAATTTGGGCTTGGGTAATGAGGTGGAAGGTGATATTATTAATATATGAGAGAATGGAGAAGAAAGACTAAGTTTGAGAGGTCAGACAAGTTGAATTTTGAATACAGGGAGTTGGAGATGCCTGAAGCAGGCAGGGGGCTGTAAGAGGTGCCATACTCACTATAAATCTATTATAGCCCTGCTTACCCCAGATTTTTGTGTCCCCAGTACAGGGCTGCAGTTAGCATCTCAAGGCAACAAATAAGCAAAAAACCGTTTAATTTAGGCTGATCATGGAGAAGTCCAGTGTGGGCCCTGATGTGAGAGAGAAGGCTCTATCCTCTCCAACCCTCTCCTCTACTACAATTCAGAGGGGCTATCCTAGGAGATTGGGACAGGGAGTTAAGGGGTAGAAAGAGACAAAGTCCGCATTTCTTCAAATGGGCTTTATTATTCAACTCAAATGCCCTACTTAGGAAACAAGTGAACTTCTCAAGAGACGTGTCCCTGAAGTAGTTAAACACAATCTCAGTTGCTGTTCAATGACTGTTAAATTCAACTGTAGCACTTCAGCTCAATCTAAGTTTTCATTGTCCTTCTTCTCCTGCTGTTCCTGCAGCCCAGAACCCCAGCAACACATCACCAAGAAATTTCGATCTTGGGAATCAAAAGAATTGCTGGTCAAGATCTCTTAATATTAAGATAACTCTTTTAAACAAATCTGCTAACAAACGTTCTTGCTTCTATCCAAGTTAATCTTCCTGCATAGCTTCTAGGAAAAGCAGCAGCTCAATAATAATATTCACTTGGAAAACAGAACCAGGCAGAGAAAATGCTGGAAAGAATCGCTTCTATCCTGTGCTTCTACTTAGACCATCTTGACTTTCTCTTTGATGCAGAAGGATAGCTTCAGGCAAAGTATATTTGCTTAATCCTCTACCACTGATTTGTGCCTTGTTAACTTAGCCCTTGGTAAGGTTTAAGCGGAATGAAATGGAAACATTGAATACTGGCAGCAGATTTTAAGCTTTTCTGGTGTACTGTTTGAGGCTATGGAAACAAAGGACTGAGCAGCTAAGCCATCATTCATTCTAGACTCTCAGAGGTGCTTATAATATGGAGACCTCAAGTTACTCCTTCTTGCTGTGTCACCTGTGCCTGAAAATGTCTGTGCATTATCCCAAAAACGATTGTCTCATGTTCAAGCCATGGAAGATCAGATAACTATTTTTGTGCTTGCCATATTTCAATCAGAATAAATAGAAGGATATTACACTATTTACAGTTGAAGCCTCCAGAGCTTTATTTTGAGTTAATACCAGTGGTGGTAACTGAATATGGGCACTATGGCCTGACCTCACATCCAAACAAGCCCAATTCATGCTCCAGGAAAAGAAAGGCGCAGATATCCAAAGTAGTTCTGAGAACCACTGACATAATCACTAGAGAAAACTGGTATTTCTGATCCCAGAATTAACTAGCCTCTCTTGCAAGAAATTGTCAAAATGCGGTCCCGGCAGGGGTTCTTTTGTCTTTTCCTTTTCCTTTTATTTTTATGCAGATCTTTTGTAAAGTCAGTTCCCATGTTTCCTGGCTAGTGATGCTCATTAGCAGTCCAAATAAAATGATGGCAAAATGGCCCAATTCTTGATTTTTTTTAAGCTGCACATACCTCTTTAGAGTGAATAAAAGTACCAATTTGGAAATTTAGGTGAGGTTTTATTTTCCTTCTATGTACTAACATTACTTGCTTGTTATGATACTCATGTTTTTGTCTCTTTGCATTAGCTGAAAACATACTTTTAATAATGTTCCAAAGAAGGGGATTTTGGAAATAGACTTTCAGATTTGGAGGGGTGGAACATTTAATCTGGAGAATTTCGCATAGCTTAGAAAAGGTTCAGGTATCTGAAAGACACCCTGCTCGAGGCGGTTTCACCTGAGGTTATTTCTTGAATAATTGGCTGCCATTGTGGGATTCTCTTCATGTCTTCATGCTTTCTTTGGTGACATCTTACATATAAATATTATACAGTGCTAATAGCAGCAGCATTATTTCTGAACAGGCCTTATGAACATTGCTAGCTGTGAGTTGTCCTGCTCATCATCATTGAATACCCTCACTCTGTCCTGTAGCAGAACCTAGGGCCTTTGGCTTCAGAGCCCCAATATGCAATATGTGGTCCAAAGACCACCAGCATCCAAATCACCTAAGAGTTTGTTAGAAATGCAGAAAGAATCTCAGACCCCAACAGTACCTACTGCTATGGACTGAATCACATCCCCCAGCCAGATTCTAATGCCCAATGTAACTATAAAGATAGGGCTTATAAACAGGTAATTAGATTAAATGAAAGCATAAACATTGGGCCCCGATCTGATAGAATTAGTGTCCTTATAAGAGAGTGCTGTCTCTCTCAGCATGTGTGTTCAAAGAAAAAAAGTCAGGTGAGCACACAATGAGAAGGCCACCATCTGCAACCCACAAGAAAAGCCCTCCGCAGGAACTTAATTGGCCAGCATCTTGATCCTGGGCTTCCCAATCCTCAGAACTGTGAGAAACAAATTTCTGTTTGAACCATCCATTTCCAGTTTATGGTAATTTGTTACGGTAGCTCAAGCTGCTAATATACCTACTGATTCAAAGTCTTTATCCTAACAAGATCCTCAGGTAATGAGTATGCATATTAAAATTTCAGAAGCACATTGCTTTAGTTAATTTTGATCATGACATTATTTAAACTCCTTCCCTATCCTGACCATCACTTTTCCATGGGAGGAACTTGAGTCATGAACTGGAATGGACTTTGAAATGAACTCTAGGATTTTTAGGCCCTGACTCTGATTCTAAAGATCCTTGTCAGCCTCAACTTGCAATTCTCTGAAATTAAGAGAACCCATAGGCCCTGGTTAAAGATGAACAACTGCACAAAACATCATAAAAATAAAAGGATAATGGATATGTTCTTTTAAAAACGTGGGATATTACAAAATGTTACATAAAGTTTTTATTCAATAACTGGATAAGAATGGCATATTTCCTCTTTTTTTTCTTAGAATTGTATTACAGATGCATAGATTCTTGAGTTCAAAGAAAAAAATCACCTAGGATATTGTCAGCTGCAGTATCATAGCCTAAGATTTTGCCACTCAATTTGACTATCATCCTTACAGTATAGAGTCCTGCTGTATCTTTGCATTTGTCTTCTCATATTGTCTAATAATTTTGAAATGGATTTTTGTAAATGTTGTTATTTTTGCCATATAGGTAAGAAATGAGAAATGAGATCTGAATTCTCAATTGTGTTCTGTGAAAGCTAAAAGTAGACTACAAAGAGAATATTTCCTGTTTTATCCTTTTGACAGTTGATGTGATACTTTAGGCGACATAATAAAACTGAAGGATAATAAAGATGATTCATTTCACTATTATATCTAGGTAGTACCATTAATCTTTTTATTTTCATATTAATTTGGTATTTTTTCTTTTCTTTTTCTTTTTTTTTTTTTTTTTTCTCGAGATGGAGTTTCACTCTGTTGCCCAGGCTGGAGTGCAGTGGCACAACCTTGGCTCGCTGCAACCTCTGCCTCCCAGGTTCAAGCAATTCTCCTGCCTCAGCCACCCAAGTAGCTGGGGTTACAGGCATGCGCCACCATGCCTGGCTAACTTTTGTGTTTTTAGTAGAGACAGGGTTTTGCCATGTTGGCCAGGCTGGTCTCGAACTCCTGACCTTAGGTGATCTCCCGGCCTTGGCCTTCCAAAGTGCTGGGATCACAGGCGTGAGCCACCATGCCCGGCCTAATTTGGTCTTTTTTAGCATCATTGGGAATAATGAGTAATGATGAAATAATTCCTAGAATGAAGAAATAGCATACTTTTTAAGATACAGGAAAAACCTGAGGTCAGGAGTTCAAGACCAGCTTGACCAACATGGTGAAACCCTGTCTTTACTAAAAATACAAAGGCAAGCACCTGTGATCCCAGCTACTCGGGAGGCTGGGACAGGAGAATCACTTGAACCCAGGAGGCGGAGGTTGCAGTGAGTCGAGATCGCGCCATTGCACTCCACCTTGGGCGACAAGAGTGAGATTCCATCTCAAAAAAAAAAAGATACAGGAAAAATAAAATCTTAGTGATCCTATAATGTATCTTAGATTTCAAAAACAGTCCACTGGATCTATGTGAATTACAAAACAAAATGAGTATTATTCTCCGTTTTAAATAAGTAAGCTTTCTCTATGTGTTTTGAAAGATTTATGGGAAATAATTTAAAAAGTCATAAAATATCAATACTTACTTACAAGTAGAACTACTCAAAAGAGAAACCCCAAAACTAAAATAGGCCCAATGAATCCTATAGTACCCTGAGTGTTAAGAGGTATTAACACATTAGCTAGCATATCAACAAGATTTCATAGACATTATTGCTTTTAAAATAAAACTAAGCTTGTAAAACATCAATTAAGCAAGACTTCCAGAATGCCTCTGTGCAGAGCTTGGCAGACATTCTCTTCAACAAAAAAGGCATTTAAACCAGTGAAAATTATAAAATAAAACGTTTAAAGTCTCTAGAAATTGATCTAAAGGTATGTAGAGAATCCAGAAGCATTTGTTCAAGAAAATCTATTCAATTTTAGTTAGAATGTCAAGTTTGTGACATTTGTGCCAGAATATGCTGTTCTCCCTCCACTGCTGTTTCAATGTTATGAAAACACTACTCCCAATGAATACAACCAAGAATACAGGAGCTCCTCCTGTTCCCCGTCAGAGAGCTCTGGTTTCACCCTGGGAGAGGCAGACCACTAGTGTTTCCCATCCCACCCTCAGCTCTGTGTTGCAAATGCTCTGAGTGTATGCAGTTTTAAAAAATAATGCTCCCTTTCCCCACCTATATGATAGAGGTTCTATCCCACATGCAGCAGGCTGAGAATATTGGGGACCCAATCACCACCTTTTCAGCTTCTACTCATAGACAGAGGTGCCATTTCAGGAGGGAAAAACTGAGAAGACTGTGGGGCTATCACCTCCTCTCCCAGCTTCTGCTCAGAGGGTAGAGTATCCACAAAAGTAGGCCCAGCCAAGAAGATGGGACCCACCATCCTCTCCCCGACTGCTTGCTTGTAGGGTAGATATTATCAATCCAAGAGAGGTAAAATGGGAGGTCTACGGCTCCACAGCCCTGCCAAGAGAGTTGACTTGGAATGGAGCAGGGAGGAACTTATGCCTTCAGGTTTTTTTGAAATGAATAGACATCTCAGTGGCAAGCAATGAAGTGGAGACTAATAGCACTTGAAACAACTAGCAACAAACAAAAAGGCAGACCAGCCAAAGTTCAACAGATAAAACAGGGAAAAAGACAGACAAAAAAGGCCCTTCTGGGATCACATTCATGCCTGGGGGTCCAAAGGTGCTGGGTTACACCCCCTTGGATGCCCCTGAGAGCTACTAGTGCCTGGATGAAAGTGGGGCTGTTTTGACAGCATTCCCCAAGCCACACAAAGATCCATCAGCAAGAGGAAAAGACTTTCTGACTTAAGAGGCTTAAGCATAACTTATGACCAAAATAACACGAACTGAACATTAAGCTACGCTGATCCAGGGACATCTTTTAGGAAGACTTAAAAACAAAGGAGAAAGAAAACTGAGCAGTAACCATCAGAGGCTGCACAAGGCAAGGAAAATAGACTTCCAACAATTTGTCTAGGCAAGCCATTAAATAAATTAACAAAACCAGGAATTATCAACATGCCATGGGTATGGGGGAGGAGGCTAATGAGAATCCAAAATTGCTACAGTGTATTACCTAAAATGTCCAGTTTTTGACCAAAAAAATACATATACATGGAAAGAGGTAGATTAGTGCAGCCCTTGTACAGGAATAAAGAGGGGGAAAAAAGAGTATGTGTGGGGCGGGCTAGGGGAATGCAAACTGCTTTTGAGGGGGCACAGATGCGGAACTTAGAAAACAAAGACTTCAAAGCAGCTATTAGAAATATGTTTAAAGAACTAACAAAAGCCATGTTTAAAGAAGTAAAAGAATGATAATGCTAATTTATCAAATGGGAGGCTGAGGCAGGCAGATCACCTGAGGTCAGGAGTTTGAGACCAGCCTAGCCAACATGGTGAGAACCTGTCTCTACTAAAAATACAAAAAAATTAGGTGTGGTGGCAGGCACCTGTAATCCCAGCTACTCGGGAGGCTGAGGCAGGAGAATCACTCAAACCCAGGAGGCAGAAGTTGCAGTGAGCTCAGATCACGCCACTGCGCTCTAGCCTGGGTGACAGAGTGAGACTCTGTCTCCAAAAAAAAAAAAGAAAAAAGAAAAATTATACAAAAAATTAAAAATTCTTGAGGTGAAAGTATAATAACAAATGAAAAATTTCCTAAAAGGGCCCAACTATATATTTGAGCTAGAAAAAGAAATAGTCAGTGAACTTGATGATACATCATTAGAAAGTATATAATCAGAAGAACAAAATAAGAAGAAAAAATGAGCGGATAATTAGAGACCTCTGAGATACCATTTGGAACACCAACATGTGTGTAATGGAAGTTTTGGAAGGAGAAGAGAAAGGGCAGAAAAAAATAATCCAAGGAATAATGGCTGAAAACCTCCCAAATATGATTTTTAAAAATCAATCCACACCTTCAAGAAGTTCAGTGAATTACAAGTAGGGAAAACGAAAGCCATATCAAGACACATTATACTCAAAGTGTTGAAAGACAAAGTGAAAATCTTGGGTGCAATAAGAGAAGTTATTCATCACACACAAGAGAACTCCAATAATAGGAATATCTGACTTCTTATCAGAATTAATGAAGTCCACAAAGCAGTGAGATAACATAAAATGCTTAAAAAACTATCAGCAAGAAGCCAATACCCAGCAAAACTATCTTTCAGAAAGGAAAACAAAGTCACATTTCCAAATAAAGACTGAATTTGTTGTTAGCATACCTGCCTGACAATAATTACTAAGGAAGTTTTTTTTAATGAAAGGAAATGACACAAGACTGCAATTCAAATCCACGTGGAAAAAAAAAAGTGCCGGCAAAGGTAACTACGTATTAACTATAAAAAACAGCATAATTACATATTGTATCTCCTTTCTTTTTAAAACTAAAAACAATATAAAATTCAATTGTGTCTATAGGATATAAAGATATGTATTTGACAATAATAGCACAAATGAGGAGTGAGGAAAGGAAGCTATAGTGGAATAAGGAAGTGGCATGAGACAGTAACTCAAATCCACAGGAAGAAATAAAGAGTAACAGAAGTTGTAAATAAGATTAATAGAAAAACTTTGTAAATATACTTTTTTCACTCTTAATTTTTTAAAAAGATGCAAGATTGATATAAAGTAGCAACACCGAATTGTGTTTATAACATATATAGATGTAATATATATGACAGCACAAAGGATGTTGTTAAATCTTATTTCTGGTTCAGTAAGTAAGAGTGGAGCAAATGTTCTACATCTTACTGGAATTGAGTTATTATAAATCCAAAGCAGAGTCTAAGAAGTTGAGATGTATATTGTAACACCTAGAGCAACCACTAAGAAAATAACAAAAAATATGATTTTTTAAAATCAACAAATAAACATAGGATACAAATAGCAAAATGGAAGAAGTAAATCCAACTATATCAATAACATTAAATGTGAATGAACTAAACAATGTAATCAAAAGGCAGACACTGTCAGACTGAATTTGAAAAAAAAAAAAACTAATTTCACCTAGATTCAAAGATACAAATATCCTGAAGGGAAAGGGGATGGGAAAAGATACACCATGCAAACAATAACCACAAGAGATCTGGAGTAGTATACTAATATCAGACAAATAGACTTATGACATATGGAGAGATGAAAAGGAACACTTTATAATAATGAAAGGGTTAATTCATTTGGAATATATAACCATTATAAACATAGATGCACTCAAC